>NC_000001.11:239820485-239972000 GCF_000001405.40 Homo sapiens
CAGAGGTTATTGTTTTCTTCTATGATAGGTCCGGATTTTAGGCAAATACGGGAAGTTCAGAGAACAATCTCATCCTATGCTTCGGGAGAGATGTTGATGGGGGGAGAAAGGTGATTAGAGAGACTTTGAGGCTTTTTTTTCAGTACAGCATGTACAAAGTGCCATATTTTGGGGTACTGGTTTGTGCGCCCCAGCAACAGGAAGATGCCATGTTGGTCTTCAAGACAACAAAACAGGTGACCAAAAGTTGTGCCCTTGCTGTTCTGCATTCCAGAAAAAACTATGCATTTCTTGAAATAATTTTATTAGTACTATCCAGAAAGGAACCATTATATGAATGTATCAGATTACCACATATACCCCCCAAATTGCAAATCTATTATGTATCAATGAAAAATAAATTTTAAAAAATGTTAGTATTTAAATTTATATATTGTTCACTAGGGGCTCACACAATATGGGCATTGAGTGAAATTTCTTTTTCTTCTCTCCTTGCTTATCTTTCTCTTACACTGACAAAAAGAGGGCAAACTAGGAAAGGTATAATCTTGCATGATTTATGTGGGTTTATTATCCTCTTGTGATGCGCCATCCACAACAAAAAGAACTACATGTTCTGACTTCATGGGTTCAGTGGCCATCCCAAAGCTAGAAGAAATTATTTGTGGTATGGTTGTTTTTTAAAATTCAAAAGGCCTGTTAACTCTATGGTGTTTCCAACATCCAGGATAAAGCTGACCAACACTTTCGATGAAGCTATTGAGTCTCTAATGAGACATATACACATTGATCTCTGTTTTATCTGACATAAAAATGGCATTTGTAATCTGTGCCTCAGTTAACATACTTCAGCATATGGGGTAGGTGTGAGCTGTGTCCTACAAGGCAGGGCAAAACCACCTTGCTTTCTTTACTTTGACATCAATGCTGGTCTTTAAGTGACTCTCTAGTCACACATCCACTATCAGGATATTCCCAGAAATTCTCTGATGTACATTCTGATTGCCCCTCTTTCCAGTGGGACATACACCACTCAGTGCTGGCTGGGAAATAGGAACCAAGTGGCAGGGGCCCCAGGGGCACCAGTCTCCCAGCCACTAGGATGAGAAATGAACCCTCACCATGCACGTCAACACACAATCCCTTTTGGGATAGAAAGTGATCACATTTGAAACTACTTTATTGAAGTTTAAATTTAGCTGGAACAGAATTTCTAAATTCCAGAATCAGAATACAGTTTTCTAAAACTGTACTTGGAACACTTGGAAACTGATATGGTTTGGCTGTGTCCCCACCCAAATCTCATCTTGAATTGTAATCCGCATAATCCCCACACATCAAGGGCAGGACCAGGTGGAGGTAACTGGATCATGGGGTCAGTTTCCTCCATGCCATCCTCGTGATAGTGAGTGAGTCTCACAAGATCTGATGGTTTAATAACTGTCCAGCATTTCCCCTGCCTGCACTCACTACGTCCTGCCACCCTGTGAGGAAGGTGCCTGCTTCTCCTTTGCCTTCCACCATGATTGTAAGTTTCCTGAGGCCTCCCCAGCCATGTGGAACTGAGTCAATTAAACCTCTTTCCTTTATGAATTACCCAGTCTCGGGTATTTCTTTATAGCAGTGTGAGAACAGACTAGTACAGAAGCTAATAGATGAGCATTAACAGAAATATTTCTGCATAGAAATCTAATTCACTAAATTATATCTTTCGAAAGTATGGCCCCACAACCAACACAATTAAATAGTAATTGGCAACTCTTGCCCTTTTGTAACCAACAAATGGTACCCGTAACTTGGTTCTGATGCTGAGATTCCTGGAGTGTCTTATAACTTGGGTTGTGTTTCTAAAACAAGGATGGAGAAATAACTTAAAGATAGCTAAACCGAGTACTACAAATTGCAAGAGAGCTTTTCTACTTTCTAGGGATGGTGTTATTTGTTTAACCAGAACATCCAAAGGTGGATGTGCGGTGATTATAATGATTTATCTAGCATGAAATGTGAGCATATTAAAGAATCCTTATTCTACATAAACCAAATCAATACTACTTCAAATAACTTTTACAACTTGAAAAATTACAGACACCGATTTAAAAATGTAGACTGAGCCCCAGATCTCAATCCAGGAAGTAAGTTTCTAGTTATATTTAAATAAATTATCATAATCCCAGTAAGCACAGAAATTCCTTTTATTTAATCCCATGTTGACTCTAACATGCAAAGCAAAGAATATAATTAATAAAAGTTAAATTTGTGTTATGGACACTAACATCATTGCTGAATAATGAGACATGGAAAGGGGATTTTCATTAAGTTGTGCCTTTGTGGAGCTTAGGCAATTTGCAACGTTTGCATCATTACCCAAGTAATATAGGTACTTAGAGTAAAATGTTATAGGAGGAAACATAAAAGATATGTGTTGAGACCCAAATCCAGCACTTGTAATTTCCCCACAGTTACAAAGTGGCAAAGAAATAGACTAAAACCCTGGTCTTCAAAGAAAGAAAGAAAGACGTTAATAGAAATAATGGTTCGCCAGGTACCCAGGAGTTCAAGGCTGAAATTTTACAAACCAATGGTAGACAGTTTATCACAGATTTATGCCAAAGTGAGCGATTTATCCTCGCACATAACCTAATAAGCTCTAACATTTGTGCAGCATTTTATACATTTTAAATTACTATTTCCTACACCATCTTATCTGATCATCAAGAAAGCTCAATGAAAGAGGCAAATAAGGTAATATCCCTCAGGAAACTAGGCTCAGAGTCAATGACATAATCATATTCAACTGGGAATATTAAAACCAATAGCCTCATAGAATCATAGAGGAGAGACCTCCAGGTACCATCTAGTGAAGCCTGGTGCCTTGAGCAGGATGGTATCTAATGTGCCCCAGACAGTTGACAAGCCAATTATGATCAATTCCCCCAGCCTTGGTCCAGGGAGGCCACCTGTGAGATGCCTGGGACCCAGCCCGGCTTATGCTGGTTTTCTATGCATTTCGTTCATTCAGCATTGGGACCATAATGCCTTCATGCCTGATCCCCGCCCTCTCAGCCTCAAGTCAGTACCGTGAGAAGGATATATTACTGTCGACTCTCTAAAATATTTTTAATTTAATCACTTATTAATGCACTGAAATCATCCTTCAGAAGCAATTATAAACATAGGCTAAGGATTAAATAAATGATTTTTCTCATCAGGAAGTGGTTTATGTGAGATTTTTCCAATAGGAAAGGCCAAAAAAGCGAACAACTCAATAGAACAGAAGACCCTTTTGTGGTGTCTTTTTTAAGTAAAATGACAAACTTGGGGAAAAAATAGTTTTCCAAAAGGAATTAGCAAGAAAACTGGCAAGCAGATAGAATGTCAGATGATGCTAAAAGAGTGACAAATGCAGTCAAGGAAACTATAACTGTGTAATTGTGGGCGGAATTAGATCAGACGCTGACCTTTCACAAACACCTAAAGAAAACAGCTCTCGAATAATAACTGTCGAAAGGAGCCTGCAGGGTTCCCCGTGTGCCTGTGGCTGTGACTCGGGAGCATGTGCGTGACCATCTGCTACGGGCACAGAATGCCAGGCTGCCGGCGGTGCCCTCTGTCTCGTTGGTGAGGCCGCATTTCACTCCAGCTCCTTGTGCCATCGTATCACACATCTTTGTTCTCTACTCTAAAATATAACCACTTGTTTTATATCTTGAATGTAGCATAGAGAAGCTTTGCAATTTTATCACCAGAGATGCCATGGTGTGAGCTACGGCAGAGAACAACCGTCAGCAAGTACATGGATCCTCTTCCATTTAGGACCAAAGATTGCACAAGGTGGACTCGGTGCCTTCAATCGAGGTGTTTCAATGTGCAAATGTAGACTTTTTCCCTTGCTTAATGTATAAGACAACCCAGTCCCAATGTTCGATACTTGTGCAATGCCAATAGAATTTCATTTATGGCTGGCATATAATCACAAAGTTAGGTGAAAATGATAAAAACCTCTTATCTACAGATAAGCAAAAGATAATTAATGAATATATTGATTCTTGCTCCCTGTAAGGGGGAAAAGCAGTCTAAAACAATTCGCATATCTATAAATTAGGATCACGTTTGTGTTCCTTTGTCCTTAGAATTATGATTATCTTAACAAGAAAATACTGACCAAAAGTCAGCCTTGTAAAACAGAGTTAGCTGTTAAGAACACATCCAGGGTAGAGTGGAAAACAATTAACATCTATTGAAATACTCACCAGTTATAAAAAGTTATAGTAACATGGGACAAACCAACACAGGTATTGACAACAGTTATAAACAAAATCCTAACCAAGGAGATCTAGTGGCTCTGCCTGAAAGATTCTGCCTCCTTAAAGTATTTCAGATCCAATAACTTTGTTATTTCTTTCAGCTATTCCAATAAGGCCTGATTCCTTCAAATAAAACCTGCAACTTCAGCCTTCTCAACTTTAGCCCATCTTCATCAGTGGCAATCATCCTTAGCAGTTCATGCATTCATTCATGTATTTAACATACATTTACTGCGCACCTGCCAGTGCACGTGCTGTGATCAGCACTGGGTTACAGTGGTGGGCCAAGCAATTTCTTCAGGCCTGTCCTTATGGGACATACAGTCCAGCGGATGCCTTTTTAATTCTGAGAAATTCACAGTTGCTTCATTGTAGTGATTGCTCTGTGAAAACTTTAAAATCATGGTCATTCGTATTTTATATCAATTCACTAGCATTCTCCTCATCTATTCAGGCCAGTACTATCTATTCTAGCCTAAAGAACACCCCATGCCTGCTCCGCCCTCTACACCATGTATTTCTCAACTTTTATGATGATTATATGCACAATACACATATGCCAAGTGCCCTCCCTCTCTCTTTGCCTTCAAATCTTCTCTCTTGCTACCTTGAAAGTGCCGCTCAACAATTCCATCTTCTATAAAGTTCTCACTTGACTTCAGTGATTCCCACAGTACACTCAGCACTTATATATGACTGTAAGTTCTCGTGGTGTATGTATGTTATTGTCATTCTGTGACTTTGAGCTTTAGAATTACTCATGATATGAACAGGTATTTGTATACCTACATTCATAGCAGCATTATTCACAATACCCAAAAGACGGAAGCAACCTAGGTGTCCATTGATGGATGAATAGGTAAATAAAATGTAATATACACATACAATGGAATATCATTCAGTCTTAAAAAGGAAGGAAATTCTTTTTATTTTTTTTTATTTGGAGACAGGGTCTTGCTCTTTTTCCCAGGATGGAGTGCAGTGGTGCGATCATAGCTCACTGCAGCCTTGAACTCCTGGGCTCAAGTGATCCTCTTGCTTCAGCCTCCCAAAGTGCTGGGATTACAGGTGTGAAACACTGCACCTGTCCAGCAAGGAAATTCTGATAGGTGCAACAACATAGATGAACCTTGAGAACATTATGCTGAGTGAAATAAGCCAGTCACAAAATGACAAATACTATATGATACCATTTACGTGAGGAACATAGAGTTCCTGGGGACTCCAACAATAGAATGCTGGTTTCTGGGAACTGGGAAGAGGGAAAATGCAGAGTTATTGTTTAGTGGATAAAGAGTTTCAGTTTCGCAAGATGAAAAACATTCTAGGGAAGGATATATATCATTGTGAATATTCTTAATGCCACTGAATTTTACACCTAATGGTTAACATGGTAAATTTTATGTTACATGTATTTTACTACAATTTTTTAAAAATCTTTTTTAAAATCACATATGCTCATCCCCACCACCCTCGCTCCCCATTTGGTTGTAAGGAAATTAAGAGATGCTGCATTTTGCGATCTTATAGTTCCTGTTGCCATTTGTTCTGTAAACACAGGAAACATCGGATGAGTAAATATGCTCGATAGGCATACTTGAGTATGACTGCAAAGTGACTACCTAAGACAGAGAGAGAGAAAAGAGAATGTTCTTCAGCATCAGTGCATCTCTGGTTTCAGTATTATGTGGCAGCCATGTTCTGGAGGAAACCAAGGTCAGTGTAGCCTAGATTTTCAGGAGAGGACTGTGGCAAAGAAGCAAATATGCAAAAAAATTACCTTAATCTACAGGAATGAAGAAATGAAAAGTATCGGGAAAAGTAACCAATAGAAAAGCTACAGAGTTAATATGGGAGGAGGGCACTTTGTTAAATAGATTTTTGATAAAGGGTAGAAGCAAACACGATCCTGAATGAGAAAAACCTATAAGCAATGTACAAAATATGGATAAAATAAGATGGAAGAAAATGCCTCAATCTGCTGAGGGAAAATGCAAGAAAAGATCATTTCTACAATAGAGGAAAAGACATGAACCAATAAAAATAATAATATTTCTTTCCAGGCCAACACTAAACATAAGTTGCAGAGCTGGCCTGTGGTGGAACTCACAAGTCTTATTGGCAATATATGTGAGGAGACAAAAAGCAACATATGGAGAAATACAAAAATATACTCCCTAGAGATACTGCCTCTTCAGATGTCAAGAAAAACCTGGATGAAATGAAGCAAGAGTGGCACGCTGCAAAGTTACAAATTCAAGGCCACCCACAGAACCAAACATTAACACTTAGGTAACTTGCTACTGAAATAGTCCCTTTCTTTTATGACTTCAGTTGAAGACTCTAGGGAGGGAAAACAGAGACATTGGATCATTCTATGATGCTTAATGACTCCACCATTAAAAACAGGAATCCAAAGTGGGAGAAGGAACTGACTCCTTGCCTGGTTTCTGTCTTCCCAGGTGGAGCTGGTCTCTTGGGCAGCCTGACATCTGGTCCACTCCTCTGTCCTATGCCGGGATCATCATGACCGTAGAGATTATGTCACTGTTTTGCATCCTTGTTACATAACTCAGTTCCTGGTAGATTGTAAGTACACAGAAGGCATTTTTTTAATTAAAAAATGGATGACTGAATAGAAGAATGGACAAATTGCCTTTTTGTATTCTGGCCACTGTTGATTAGTTACGTGACCTCAATTAGGATATTTTAACTCTGTGTGTCTTTGTTTCCTCATTTATATGTTGAAGGTAATGATAGTTCCTACCTACTGCACAGGCTTCTTGAAGATTAAATGACATAGGGTGGGTAAAAGGTTTAGACTAGTACCTAGAAATAGCACGTTTCACTAAAAATTACCTATTACTCATATTATTTTTGCTAAGTGATTGTATAAACCTAATAAACATCATATATTTTACTATGCACAGATAATTTAAAAATCTTATAAATACAAATTTAACCCACAAAAAAAAATTCAACATAGTTGCCACCTAACAATAAAACCTTCCCTGCTCATTAATTCATTCGAGGCAGTAAGTCACATTGAACTGCAAATATTTTTACAGTGTCTAAGTGTGAAAAACTAGAATACCTTTAATGTATTTTAAATTAAAAAATCATTATAAAGTGCAGCATGTAATTCTTTACATTCTTTTTTCTAACACCTAGGAGACAATTTAACTTTGTGTTTCAGATATCTGTTATCATAAATTATTCATTCCTCATTCAACACATATTTATTAAACACCTACTACGTTCTAGATACAAGGGAGGCAATGGTGAAGTAAACACAGCTACTGCTCCCTTTGAGATTCTGTTTCTGTTAGGAAAAAGAAATACACGCACACAAATACACACATGGTGACACAGAGATACACATATATACACATACGGATATTCACACATAGATATAGACACATACATACATACATAGACACACATAGTTACACACACATAGATATACATACACATAGATACATTCATAAATACACACATAGACACATGCACATAAATATACACGTGTGTATACATACATACAGATATATACACATATATATATGCACCTATATAGGTACACATACATAGATACACACACAGGTGTATATATACACACACTTATACACACACAATGTTGTGGGACCATAACTGGCATGAAGAAAAATTATTACAAAGGGTAGAGCATGAATAAGATGGCTTCTATAGCGTATTCAGGGAAGGACAGTCTAATATAATAACATTTAAGCAAAGAACTGATTGAAGTGAGGGTGCTCTCTGGGAAGGGACCAGGTCAATGAAGACAAACGAGGAGGTGCAAAAGCCTGAGGTGGGAGCACATTTGGAGTATTCCCGGAACAGCATAGATGCAGAACGGACAGAGAACAGTGGGCAAGGGGAGAGGGGTATGAGAGAAGGTCGGGAAGGCACCTGGGAGCTAGAATATCAATGCAGATTTTGCTCTAAGAAAATGGAGGATATCAGAGGGACCCTGTGCTAAGGAATGATGTGATCTGAGTTAGGTTTTGGAAGTGTCACTCTGCCTGCTGTGCGGATAGCGGATGGGAGGAGATCTAAGATGAACAAAGGAAATCACTTCAGAGACTTTCAGGAAATGGTCATGGCTTGGACTAAGATTTGGGGCAAATTTAAAGTAGAGCCAAAGGGACCTGCTGATGCATGGGATGCACACTATGAGGGCTAGATCTGTGACTATATGTGACCTGCTGCAGCAGGTGTGCAGACACTTGCTTTCTTGAAATGTCCTTGACGTTGCTTTTGTTGTTGCTGTTATTGTTTTGCTTTGTTTTAATTTCTTTCCATCTCTGTGATTAAAGCAGAGTGAAGTTAATGAATCTCTGTGGCGAAGTGGATTGTTTAACTGTAGGTATGAGTAGAACTGGCAGTTCTAAGTCTAATTCCAACAGTGGGAATTTTGGCCCTTCTGAGCTTCGGTTTCCTCAATTATAAAGTAAGAAAAACCGCTAGCTTTGCAAGTCTGTGCCTCTCCTACCAAAAGCTATAGTATTGGTGTCAGTTTGGTCAAAGATTTTCCCAGTTGGTACAGCCCCCTGGGACTGGGAAGGCATTAGTTCAATTGACTGCAAGGACTGAATGATTTTTTTTTTTGAAAAAGAAAAGAAATTTTAAATTTTTTATGTTGATTGGCTTGGTTTCCATTGAGATCAAGGATTATTCCAGCAACTTTAGTTATAAAACACCTGCTATCTGTTACTGTATTTTACTTTCTATACCAAAAAAGCATGTATTTTCAGATAAATTTCAATATATCAATCTTTTGTGTTTCATCTTATAACAGTTTTACTAAAAATTGTTTGACTCATGTGGTCTTCAGGTTGGGGAAGGCTAGGACAGATGGCACAGCAGAGTGGTTAAAGCAGGGTCTCAGAGGCAGACTGCCTCGATGTGAAACCCAGCTCTGCCACTTACTGTGTGACCTTGGGAAAATTACTCACCCTCTCTGTGCTCAATTTCCCTATCTCTAAAATGGGAATAACAGTAGTACTTCCCTCAGAGCCTCAGAATTGCTAGGGTAATCAAATGACTTAATGTCCAATAAGCACTTAGAACATTGCCTGACACATAGAAACACCAAATAAGAGCCCCTTATAATTACTATTTTTGTCTCTACTCAAATACTGTACCTGCCTCTATTTTTGAAGAATTTGAAAAATACTTGATATTTGAAATCTCTGCGATTATTTCAAGGAATTTAATAGCAAAATGATACCTGGGCCTTGGAACTGTCATTTAGGATGGACTGTTTGTGAAATATGCCTTTTTAAAACATCATGGATTTTCAAATCTGAAAGAACTCAGTTCATCCTGCCCTGCTCATTTAGTGGGCCTAAGTATTTGTGGAAATTCTTTCTGAGCTTATATTCATACATCTGTCAAATAAAGATTAAAATATGTACTTCTTGAGGTTGCTGTTAGGACTAAAAGAGATAATACATGCAAAATGCTAGAAAATATATTAATATTACATTCTTTACCTCTCCACCCTCAGTCAAAATATGTGTGACTTAAAGCGGTGTATGTGAAATTTAACATGATGCCTTCAGGATTCAGAAATGAAATGTCTGTGGAACACACATGGATAAGAGTTGCTTACTGCTTGGCACAGTGGCTCACGCCTGTAATCCCAGCACTTTGGGAGGCCGAGGCGGGCGGATCACGAGCTCAGGAGTTCGAGACCAGCCTGGACAATATGGTGAAACCCCGTCTCTATTAAAAATACAAAAAAACTAGCCAGGTGTGGTGGCGCGTGCCTGTAGTCCCAGCTACTTGGGAGGCTAAGGCAGGAGAATTGCTTGAACCCAGGAGGCGGAGGTTGCAGTGAGCCAATATTGTGCCACTGCACTCCAGCCTGGGCAATAGAGGGAGACTCCATGTCAAAAAATAAAACCAAAGTTGCTTACAAGAAAATAAGACCATTAATGGTGACATTTTCCCTGTGAGCAAAGAAGACCAATGATGTCCCTGAGCTGTGGACACCGCTAGGCTCCTACACCCAACCTCTGCAGGACCACCCTACAGACTCTCACCCCCCTGAAACAACCATATTTTTGATTGGTGGTTCCTCAGTCCTAATTTCAGAACACTTAGTACCAATGGGCTGAGGAGGTGGAAAGTTCCCCTATTCATTCCATGAGATTTTCAAAATTCGCTTTGTTTGTATTTGGGATTTTTTTTTTTAATATGGACTTTGTATTTTAAAAGTACATTTAAGAAGGGGCAGTGCCATGTAACATTTCGTTATTATTGACTGCTCTGTCACATGTCTCCAAGAGGTAAAAGCAGCATTGCTTAGAAGAAAGAGCACAGCCCAGCGAGTCAGGACACAGGGCTGACCCGAATGCACCCTCACCAGTCAGGAGACGCTGACTCGGTCATTTCCTCTCTCCATTTTCTTAACTCTAAATGGAAGATATTGAACAAGATGGTTTCTAAGACCTTAATTCCATCTATAATCCTTTGATGTAGGAACATCAAAGGAAGCTCCTGGTGGTCACTCCCCTCGGGCCTGGACAAAACAGGAGAGCAGCCAACTGGTAGGCCTTCCTCAAAGCCCTCTCTGCCAAGTGCCTTACCAATGCCCTCTTGATCGATTAAGGCAACACAGTGTCACAATACTGGAAGGAACCGTTTTTCTTTGACTTGTTTAATACATTTCTGTTTCAGACCCTATCATGGTAAGTATTCTGGCCATTTTAACAGACATAAGCAGAAAAATAAGAACTCATCCTCTAATTTTGTCTGTGGTTATAGAAAGAATATCAAACAGACTGATGGAACTGTTGAGAATCTTAAACAAAGAGATAGTTTATCATTTCAAGCATAGCCTGGCAAATATCTGTCCTCTGGAAATTAAGTCAGAAGTTCAGTTGCACATGTGAGGCCCGGGGGTGCTTGACCCAGACATATAAGTGCCATGTGGGAGGGGAGGATCTTTGGCCAATAGCATCCTGGAATACCATTGGCTAAGTGTCCTGGCCATGAAATCAGGTGTTATATAGATTAAAGCCAATATCTGAGTGTTTTATCAGGAATTAGGCAGTAAGGCTTTTAAGCAGTTAGAAATTATTATTTTCCTCCTAGAAGCATCCTTCCCCAAAGGCAAACAGCCATTACCATGCTTTATGTGATGTGCTTTATCTGTGTATTTACTGAAAGACCATCACACTTTTGCCTCAGTTGTCATGCTCATTTTTTGGCTTGTGACCTTTATAGAAATGAAGAAAATAATTAACTCTGCCTGCTTGTGGTCGAGGACAGAAGCTGTCACTGAATGTTTTACGGTAAAATCACTTGAGAGGAAGCAGCTGCATGTGAGCCTGCACTGTCCCTCCATTGTACGGGTGGCACCTTGATTTCTGGAGGAAGTCATGCTTTTTCATGGGTTCGTGGCCAGCCAGTTACCTTTTGTCACATTTTTGTTCTTCCTTTATAATTTTGTCAAGCTGAGAAAAAAAAACAACTGCCACAGTGTGCAGAAAGCAAACTGGAGTCTGGTGCTGCCATTAAGCACATCTGTATTTCCATGGCAAATTGTTCAACTTTGAATGACTTTTTCTTAGCAAAATCCCTAGTATTCGTCTTCATTCTTAGAAAGGGAAGCAGCCTCCACTGTAGTCATTCCTTACTTGACCATGCTAAGAAGCCCTCGTAGCCTTCCTTAGCAGTAGACAAACTGTTACCGGGAAGGGGTCCTGATCCAGACCTTAAAAGAGGGCTCTTGGATCTCGTGCAAGGAAGAATTCAGGGCAAGTCCGCAGTGCAAAGCAAAAGTAAATTTAGTAAGAAAGTAAAATGGTGAAAGAACAGCTGCTCCATAGACAGAGTAACGCATTTCCGAGAGTAAGAGGAAGAACACGTTCATCCTAGATCCAATACTTGTTTATATACAGGATTAAAAAAGATCATGGGGACATATGCTCTGCTACATGGGTTTGTGATAAAGGATTCATTTTCTTAATTACTATATTTTGCACGTATCGATATTATTATCTTTAAAGCAAAATTAGGAATGCTTCTGTTCTCAAGATATTGGGATATCAGGACGCTCCTGAGTCTGGGTCTGTTTAGTTAACGTCATCAATCTGTTCCCTTTACCGTAAACATCAAGAGACTAGGAATGCCTAAGTTTCTGGGAACACAGCCCAGCAGGTCCCAGCCTCATTTTTCCCAGCCCTCATTCAAGATGGGGTCTCTCTGGTTCAAACACCTCTGACAAAACCATCTCTGGACCCATTGTGCAGATTTCATAAGCTACAAAGCCTTGTATCTCAGTCCCCACAGACATTTTAATGAAGCTGCAGTTCAGTACTGACTTGAATTTGAGGTCCACCTCCCTTGTTGTAAGTATGGGCCAGGCGTGGACCAGAGGTTAAGGTGACTTGGTCCCTCCCTTTAGAAGTGAAGCTTTTTCCTTGCATCAAGTTTATATACTTCAACTCTTTCCCCGCTTGGGATAGGATCTTTCCAAGCAAGCTCCTTGACTGCTCATGCCAAGAAACCCTGGCTTTGTCCTATGACTAGGATGAATATAGTCTAGACTCAGGCTTGGTGTCCATGGAAACCAAGAGAAGAACCAGGGGAGAGGAGGAGTTTCTCCAACTCCTCCAGGTGGTGCCTTTCAGAGGAGCAACTTCCTGGGTCACATCTTATCCTTTGGCCTTCTCACTACATCCCAGTGGAGGTCAAAACCAGGACTCAACAAAGGAGGCTAATACTTTCAGACCCAGGGGTATTCATGGGATTTTGGCCTCTCCCCAAAACCTCGTTGTGACCAAGCCGAGGAATTCCTGCACGCTGGCTGAGGATAACTTTTTTATTAATACATCCCCGAGGAGGGGACAACCTTCCATGCATGCTCTTGATAACTGAGTGTAACAGATTCCCTGGTGGAGTCTGAAGGCTCTGGCTTGGGATTACTTTCAGCATAAAACTGCCTCATTACCAAGTCCTTCTGGAGCTTCTGGAGCTCAGCTCCCTTGGAAAGTGTTCAAATCAAAGCTACCTTTATACCACACTCCTTTGTGTCCTGATGTCCTGAATAGTGAGATTATCGGGTACACCCACCTGTTCCTGCACTTCCTTCCTGCTCAATTTAAATAAACAATGAGCTGTTTTTCTTCTTGACAAAGAGCCAGTCTATACAACAGCAGCAGGAAGATTACTTTCTATCTGTATGCAAACAGATACATAGCTGAGTTCTCTCCAATCCCCGGGAAAAGACCCTTTTAACTAAATGACTTATGCTTCTGTTTCTTCATGTATAAAATTAGTGGCTTGGTGCTGAATAACCTCAGTCCCCTTCTGGCTGTATAATTCCACATCACACACACACACACACACACACACACACACACACACACACTGGGGAGGACAAAATTTGCACACTCAACAATTAGAGAAAAAGCAAAGTAGTACATGTTTAAATGTTCAATAAATACTCAACTCTCTACCATAATACCCACGTTTCTTCTCAACTTAATGCCTTTTTTTTTTTTTTTTTTTTGAGACGGAGTCTCACCCTGTCCCCCAGGCTGGAGTGCGATGGCACAATCTCGGCTCACTGTGGCCTCTGCCTTCCAGGTTCAAACGATTCTCCTGCCTCAGCTTCCCAAACTTAATAGGGGACTTACTTATTCTCTCTCTCCCTGCACCATAGACCTTTAGGCAATAGAAATACCCAGCCACTAAGCAATCCCGAAAGCATTCTACACTTACCTGCTCCTGACAGCCAAGTTCATACAGTCCCCACTAATCCAAATGCTCTTTATCCTTCTACTTTAGGTGAATCCCACTCAGTCTTCAAAGACCTGCTCATCACCTCCCCTGAAGGCAGAAAGTGTAGCTGTCTTTCTGAGTATTCATGCCTCCTCGCTCAGACCTAGAGCACAACACTTGAAATACAGTAGCATGGCTTACTGTGTATACGGCTGCCTCCACCAACTAGGTTGAAAATTGTTCAGATTTCACTTTTTTCTACCCCACGATCTAGTACCACACTCAATGTAACAAAGTTCTCAATGATATTCACTGGGTACACCTTGAATATATTTTCTTAGGAAAATGTTTTTTACATAAATATATTGAGGCTGAAGTTTAACACATATGCTCAGTCATATGTCTAAAGTCAGCGGTACAGGAAAAGCAAATGGAAATATGGGTGAGCTTTGGTTATAGGCGAATTAGTTCATTTTCATTACTTGGAGATTTTAGAGGATCAGTTTACTGAAGATTCAGGTAATGGGGCTGTAAGTCAAGGGACAAGTCATGTTCTACCTTAAATTGCCATTGTGATTTAAACATGTTTCCCCCTTTAGCAGTGTTTTGTCTAGCAACAATTAAATAATAAATCACATGGAGGTCTCGCTGGCCAACAGGAAACTGGGCAGATCTTCAGTCTTTCCGGATCCTCCGTGCCAGCATGATTTTATACCTTTTGTTTGAAGATGAACAGAGCTGGCTCTGCCTTTCTTCCTTTCTTTCCCCTTTTCTTATTCCTTCCTTCAATGAGGACATTAAGCATGAATCTTTTATAGATTTTTGTAGTCCTTCCACAAGCAACTGATGAGTGCCCACTACGTTCTCTGCACAAGTGCAACGCAAATTGGGGAGGAAAAAGATTGTTTGGGCAATGCTGTCAAAGAGGTTTTTTTTTTCACTTAGAAAATAATTATTTATTTAACAACATTTCTTGACTTTCTTCTATGTGCAAAGACACGCTAAGAGATAGAGACTGATAAGGCTTGGTTTTCGACCGTCAAAGCCTTTAGAGTTTTAAACAATGGTTTTCAAATTTCAAGTCATGAAATCAACTTAGTGCGTTAGGAAGAACATTTGTATTTATTTCGAATAGTTTAGAATAGAAGACATCCGAGTACCTCCCATGGAGTGAGGTAGTATCACATGAAAATTATTTCTCCGTGTATGTGTGTGCACTGGGTCGCAAAGAAAAATGTATTTATTTCCATAGGACACAGTTAAAAATTTAGAAGCCTGCTGATTCAGAAGGATGAACGAACATGGACCTAAATTACTGCATTTCAGGTTTTAACAAATTGAATGGAAGTAGGCATGGGAGACTCAATGTCAAGCTAATAAGTGTCAAGGATCCAAATTGCCAACTTTGCATCATGTCCTTGCCGCTTCTTTTGAGACGATGGAGATACATTCGTAGAGAGGAAAAAGATCCATGCTATGTGTGTGCAGCACGGATGGCGTTCTGTGGGGATGCAGCTGGCTGCAGATTCCAGCCAATCACCTGGTGTGACCTCTTGTTTCAACTGAGGGGCATACTGCCTTCATACTGACAAAGATTAGTGACCAGTTCCCCAGCCAGCAGTCCACCAGTGAAAAACAGGAACATTTCAGAGAACAGCAGGAAATGCTAGTTGTTTTAGTCCTGTCTCCCACAGCTACTTCAAAAACAAAGTCTTATCCTCAGATCGAGAAAGGGTGTAGCTTGAGAGGAGGTGTGTTTTTCTCCATTCTGTTACATAATCAAGCATCCGAGCCTGTCACCATGTTTGCTGAATGGAGCCATATCAAATCATTTTCTGTTTTTGTTTTTTTTTAACAGGCAGAATATAAATGTATTTCAATTGATAAAAATATAAGAAACTCTGTGATTATGTTATTTCAATTCCAGTATTTTTCTTGGTTGTGGAGCTGCAGCAGGAGCCCTCCTGTCCTTTAATAACACTATGCTCTGCTAGAAATGCGGAAGCCAAGTTCATTCTACCATCCCCGTACAAAAACCTTGAACCTCCTTTTCACCTGAGAGCAGACCCTCTTAGGACTCCTAGACCACTATCAATGTGTGCAGTAATCAGTAACAAAAGGAAAGTTTTGTCACATATAAGATAGGTGGAGGGGGCCTGGCGTGGTGGCTCACGTCTGTAATCTCGGCACTTTGGGAGGCCGAGGCTGATGGATCACAAGATCAAGAGATCGAGACCATCTGGACAACATGGTGAAACCTTGTCTCCACTAAAAATACAAAAATTAACTGGGCTTGATGGCACATGCCTGTAATCCCAGCTACTTGGGAGGCTGAGGCAGGAGAATCACTTGAACCCAGGAGGTGGAAGTTGCAGCGAGCCGAGATAGCACCACTGCACTCCAGCCTGGCAACAGAGCAAGACTCTGTCTTAAAAAAAAAAAAAAAAGATGGGTGAAGGGGAGAGGCAAGTATGAGGACTCTTTGGACCATACAGTGTCAGCATCCTTTCCTATGATCAGTAATGCATGATAAACAGGGTTGTAAGCAGAAAAAAATGCAACATTTTGGTTGTGTGCTCCATGGATCAGTCACAGGCTAGCTAAACCATGACAGAAATCTGTTGTTTCTCACGATGTGTGAGGCAGGGAGACCACGTCTTACTTTTCTTTCATTTCCATGCTTGCCCTTTGAAGAGTCTGTTTAGAGCCAATAAAGTGATACATCTGACACATCCTTAATGATAGATCAAGAGTGCCAGAGAAATATCCAAGCACCTAGAATCGCAAAATGAGAATGAAGCTGTAGAAATCATCGAATCCAACTTCTTGTCTCCAGATCTTTTTGTTCCTGACATTACCGATTACCTTTCAGCTAGGAAGGACTCTGAAGCAGGGATCAGGTACAAGTCCTCACCTCTTCCCTCTCTCAACTCTGCTGTCCTTTGTAAGCTGCAAACCCTGACAGACATTTTGCAACCCATCAATTCCAGAAACTTAATCATTACAATATGTTATATATGTTTTAAGTTAGACTCTACAGAACTTAAGGTGAAGCACAGCAGTAAGCACAGCCTAATAGTAGTGAACTTGAATTCCAGCAAAATATCTTTGTGCTTAAGTACTTAACTACATAATTATAAATCATTATGAGACATTTCTCCTTCAGAATTTTATATATGGCTGACTTTACCTGTTTATCTCCAATCACCAATCTCCTGAAGAGAGTTAGAGTTTGATATTCTCCTATCTTAACCACTGAGTATAGTTTCTCTCATCCATTCATTCTTTACCCATTCATTGAGTTTTTATTCGGTGCAGCATAGTAGGCCAAGCTGTACCTGCTATGAAGCTGAAACAGCTAGAGTTCTACCCTCAAAAGTTTACATTGTAGTTAGGAAGATAAATCATGTGCATAGATAACAATACTAAAAGGCAAAAATAGTAAAATAAAAACACTTTATGGAATTTTAACGAAGAGAGAGAGTACTTCAAAATATAAGGCTCAGAGAAAGATCGTGAGGGAAATTATATATGAATTGAATCTTAAAGGCCAGGACATGTAAAAATGGGAGATAACATTCTAAGTGGTGGATAAATAGTGCCAGAAGAAATTCCAGGGACTATATGATTAATGGGAAGCAGTTTATTTGGACTGAAGAAAGGGGTCTATCAGTGAAAATATGGGATGTAAGTTGGAATAGTAACTTTGAGTCACCCAATACCAGGCAACAGAGCTCCAACTTAATTGTAGATTATGGGACTCTATGGAAGGTGTTTGGGCAGAAAGGAGTGATTTGATCAGAGACAAATGTTTGTGGTTAAAGATGCCATCCTACACCACAAACACCATCTGTTTTCATGCAGTTTTGGACAACTCTACAATATATAGGTGTCTTGGTGGCTGTAATTGTCAAACAACACATGGCAAACACATTCCTTCTCTCATTCCTCCTCTTAGCATTTGTAAAATGCATTAAAATTGCCATGCCATATTTTGTGTGCAAATGATCTCATGTTCCTTACCACAAGCCTACAAAGTTTATCTTATTGTATAGGCAATGAGACCCATGCTCAAGAAGGTTAGGTGATTTGTGATCTGGTCACAAAGCTGGTTAGTGATAAAGTAGACTTGGCATCTTCTCCCTTCAGACCTGGGGAATTTCCCATGATATGGCAGGGTCCTCCGCACATAGTTCTCATTGTACTACCAACAAGTCCTGTAAAATGTTATGGACCCTTTGATGTGTAGAACATTAGAATAGGTAAGGAAGAGAAAGCTCTTACTGCAGAAATTTAAAGTGTTTCTCTGGGAAATTGATACTTCTGAAAAATACAGATAAATATGCTTTTATATACTCAGGGAAGAATCAAGAAAATTTAAAATGGATTAAGGATGATGTTAAACAAAGCATCATATCATCTAGAAAATTAAAGCATGGATGGGGATAGGTTTTCTATGAAGACAGGTAAAAAGAAGAGAGCATCATACTCATCCTCAAATACACAAAATCCAAAATACATATCTTCTTCCATTCGATTGGCCCTTCAGGGCCCTTTCAAAATACTTTTTCCTCCAAATGACTCCATAAGATAGACAAGGTAGATATTATTTTCCCTGTGGCAAATAAGAATATCAGGGCTAATGAATTTGCCCCAAATCATGCTAGGACTGAAACTTGGATAGGTCTTGTAGCTTGTAATTCAAAGCTACTTTCACTGCCTCTCGATCTATATCATCATTGAAGATAATTGAGATGATTCAATAGTGTGTTGTTACGGAGTGCATGCAGTTAGGACATAGAATTCACTCCAGTGGTTCTGCATACTGATCAACCACGTCTTTTAAGTTTTACTGGGACAGATCTCTGTTGGGCTTTTGGAATGCACTATGGGGTCTGTAAATGAAAGTATGGGATATAGGTAGGAATAGTAACTTCGAGTCATACAGTACCAGGCAAGAGAGCTTCAACTTAATTCTAGATTATGGGAATCCATGGAACATGTTTTGGCAGAAAAGAGTGATTGGGTCAGAGACAAATGTTTGTGGTTAAAGATTCCATGTCAGAATATGATGCTTAGGAGCAACAGTACCATTTATCTTCCTCGTGGTTTAAATGTTTTAAAATATTCAAGGTCAAGAGTCCACTTATTCATATTCCCCCTTTATACAGAAAGAAGAAAGGGGAGAGTGACATACAAAGAGACCAACCAGTACCATGAATGTCTGGGACATTTACTATTACATTCAGTGGCGGGGCGGGGGGGGAGCGGGGAAGGGAGAAGTACTTTTGCATAAAGCACTGAGAGCTGGAGTAGAAGTGAAGGAAAGAAAGGAAGAAAGGAAGGTAGACATAGGCTAGGCTCTTCTCCCAGCAGGCAAGAAAGAACACCATTGCCTGGTGCAGGCTGCATCCAGCCCAGGCCTCAGTTGTTGAGTTGTTAATACAATTTTTTATTAATTAATTATTTTTCATTTAAATGATAATGCACGCATACACTTTTACTCTAGAAACTGTAAATAACAAACATGGAACTGACATCTCTGTTGACCAGCACTCAATCTCACTCTTCCCCAGAGCTAACTGCATTTATCAATTTTGGATCTATCCATCCAGAAAGTTGTCTGTAAATTTACCTGTACATTATGTGTGCATTTAGAAACATATAAGTTTGCTTTGGTGGTGGACTTTTTTTTACATCTCATTAAATATATTAAGAAGTCAGTTACCTTGGGACACTGTGTAAATTAGAGCGTTAACCCCATTAACCTGATTTCTATGCCCCATAACTCATTTAAAAGCTCATCAGTGGCCTGCAGCACTCAAATACTTCACACGGCATTGATTTTGTATTCTTAATAATGCCCAAAGAAGCAATCTTGTTCTGCAATTCCAGTTTAACTCCTAATAAACTGATATTTGGAAGGAAGTGACAGATAATACACAAAAAAATTCAATTCTGTGAGCAAGAAAATGACCATTAGTGTCAAAATGCTGTCTACTGCCCTGGAGGAAAAAGCATAGGCAGCTGTAGTACACACCATTGATGGATGGCAGGATGTTCAATTTAGAACTGTTACTGAACAAAACTGGCCTTTATTCTGAGATAAAGAGAAAATGCTTTAAAGATCTCATTTTAAAAGCCAAATCAAATGAAATCTTTAGGGCAATAGATATCTCATTTTTTGCATTTATATATTCTTTCAATAACTTGAATATTGTCAGTTAACATAAGAAAAAGGGTTACCATGGTGTTTTCTCTCCAGAATTTCTAGGATGGCTTCAGTTTGTAGAATGGTATTCGGAAAATTGAGTACCGTCACTGTTTGTTCCATTTCTTTGTGATTAATATTCATTGCCAGCACTCTGGCATGTGAAGTGATTGTTCCTTGATTCATGGTGCACGTGTGGGCAGCAACAAACACTGAGGAAGTGTCATAATTTTAGGCCATTTACAAAGACCCAGCTACCAAAGCAGATTGCTCAGAGGCCATCCACCCACACTGTGTTCCATGGCACCCTGACTCTCTGCTGTAAAATTGACCTGAGGTGTCTTGTTTAGTAATGAGCAAAGATTAAGGGAGAACATGTTTTGTTGCTTTTCACTGGTCCATAAAAGTTGAGAATGACTTCAAATTTGATGGAGGCTTTGCACATTTAACTTGGATTTTTCTCTTGATATCAGTCTTTCCTTGAATAATAGCAATATGGTATGTGTTAGAGGAGGTGACAATTTGTTAGAAGTTTCAGAAGGCACTGTGAGCTAGTATGCTCTGGAGATGAATTTAAAAGGGATGTGGGATTTGGTGGGGCATGTTGAATTTTGGTAAAGCAGAATTACGTTCGTTACCAATGATCCAGTGGGATTGACTGTAGAGTTTCATTGTGTGCAGATTCGCAACTTTCAGCTGTCTCTAAGGAGGAAAAATAGAGAGTAAAACTCTATTACCTGTTGACTTGCTATTTTTCATTAAGCCCACAGACCCCAAATTGTTTTTCTGCCATGAAAAGAAGTCCCATATGGTTGCAAAACTGAAGGGCAATGGACTGGAATCCTAAATCCATTGACAGTTAAGGTAGAAATTGGGTTCCAAGATTTAGCTGGCCAAGGCCTCAGGAGCTGACTAGACTTACCTCATTTCCCACCTGGGGTCAGGAGTAATATGTGACTCTTGAAGAGCAGCTTTCAAGGCATTAGCATAACTTGTTTCTTCTTTTACTTTCCAATGGGAAGATGGCTCCAAATGATAGTTTCAAAAGTCCCAGGAAGTTGCCTCTATCTCTAGTGGCTGAAAACTGGAACTAAACAGGGTAGAATGAGGAAGTGACTTGGAGAGAAGTTGTGCAAAATTAAATTATATAATACAACTTTACATCTGGAAAGAAACTTAGAATTCATTCATTCCAAGAGGTTCTAGGCTGGTGTAGGGGGGACGCCTATATCAAAATCTCAGGCCTGAATAATTTGAAAATCTGCTCCGCATGATACTGAAATGGGCTGCTCCTTGTTTCATGAATGAGGTTCAGAGGTATTGAAAGATATATTTCTCATCATACAACTTATAACAAAACTAGAAATTGAATGCATGTCATCTATCAAGTCCTATGGTAATTTCATATCATGGAATTATAAAATTTCACTTTTAAATTCCATGTCCACATGTACTTCTTTTTTTTTTTTTTTTTGAGGGGGTTGGGGGGACAGAGTCCCGCTGTGTCACCCAGCCTGGAGTGCAGTGATGAGATCTCAGCTCACTGCTAACTCCACCTCTCGGACTCCGCCTCCCGGTTCAAGTGATTCTCCTGCCTCAGCCTCCTGAGTAGCTAGGATTATAGGTGCCCGCCATCATGCCTGGCTAATTTTTGTATTTTTAGTAGAGACGGGGTTTCACCATGATGGCCAGGTTAGTCTCGAACTCCTGACATCAGGTGATCCGCCTGCCTTGGCCTCCCAAAGTGTTGGGATTACAGGAGTGAGCCACCGTGCCCAGCAGCCCTTCTTTCTTAATGATGATGGATGGGGAGACCTAAAGTGGAAAAGAAAAGGAAGGACTGATAAACACATTAGAAGAGAACCATATACGCATCTATTTTGCCCCAAATTCTGATCACTTGATATATCAGGTATTCAAGTGTCATCATAAAATCTCCAAGTTAGAAGGATCATCTAGGTCACCCCAACATACACACACATGCATGCACGCACACACAGGTACACACATTTTAAACACAAAGGATAAAAGCAGATTTGAAAAAATGTTAAAATGATGTGACTGTATCTCAAGAACCTAGGCTTCCATTCCCATGGTCACCATCCGGGATTCAGATCTTCAGCATTCCTGTGCCTAGATCACCAGGGTCCTACATGGTATTTCTGCTTCCAGGACCCTGCCCCATTGTCTTGACCATTCTTCACATCATAGCCTAGAGCTTTGCTGTGATCATCTTGCTCTTCTCTCCTATAAACTTCAGTGGATCAGATCCCACCACACACTTAATAAGGACAAAGCCCCTTATGTGGCTTTCTTGTCCCAACTTGCCTTTATTGCCTTTTAGGGCTTTTTACTCTTTACTATCCAGGTAATATAAATTTACTTCGCTCAAACAAGGGCCATCCTTTGGTGACTTAGTGGCTTTGCTTGTATTAATCCTCCTGCCTATATACTCATTATCACACTCCTCACCTTCATTTACCAAACATCTGCCCATTCTTCAAATCCTAGCACAAGTGTAGAATGTGGTATTCACCTCCTCTAATCATTTTTAACAGTGCTTTTGTAGCTCCCAGGGACCCATGCTGGCCTATGTTATGATTATTTATATAATTATTTCTGGATTTTTAACCTAATCTCTTAGATTATAAACTCAGTTGCATTCTCTCTCTCTTTTTATCTCACTCGCTTTCCTTTTTTTTTTTTTTTTTTTTTTTGGCATTCCTCTTAGGACTTATCATTTGCTTTAATATAGCAGATTAGCTGGAGGCATGGTTCAGCAAATGGTCTCATGTAGGCAGAGGAAGAAATCTAGCAAAATATTTAGTTAACAACAAAAGAGAAAGTGTGTTCTATTCTAAAATTTTCATTACTCTAATAGAAAATGAAGGATTGAGATGACACTTCCACGTTACCAGCTAAAAAAGACTTTAATTGCTGACATAGAAGTAGCATGTTCTTCCCCCCAGAAAGAGGAAGAAGCAGGTAAAATTTTAAAAGGCAGGAGCTAAAATTGCTAGTTTTAGTTTCTCTTTCAATAGATCCTGGACAGGTAATTTCTATTTAGAGGAGATTGTTTGCCAAGTATTCTCTGAAACTGTGTATATGTGTGTATGTGTGTGTGTATATATATATACACATAGAGATATATACTCTATATAATTAGATACATACATACGTGTCTATATATAGACACACATACACATATGCATACACACACGTTATATATACAGTTTGTTTTGTTTTGAAATATGTATACATTGTGAAATGGCTAAATCAAGCTGATTAGCATATGCATTACCTCACTTATTATTTCTTTGTGATAAGAACACTTAAAATTTTCTCTCTTAGCAATTTTCAAGCACACACTAAATTGTTATTCAACATAGTCACCATGCTTCCTATAGTTCTCTTGAACGTATTCCTCCTAACAGAAATTTTGTATCCTTTGATCAACATCTCCCCACCTTCACCCCACCACCCACCATATATGTCTGTTTAGACTGAGGCTTGGGAGGTATAAATGGGAGGTTCTATATGTGAATGTAAAAAATCAAGGTTTAGGGATTTGATATTTTTGGTGAACTCAATATGAGTCATTAATGCAATGCGCTTATTTGTTACAGAAGATGTGATTCCAAACTACAAGGAAAGAAATACAGTATCTAGAATAAAGGAGGTGATAGCACACCCCATCTCCACATGGATCAAACTATACCTGTTCACTCAGAGGCTACATTTAAGAATAAATTTGGTGGATTAGGCCCTAAGAAGTAGCACTGGGACCAATAGATGACATTTTAACTCAAATTCAGGAAGAATTTCCCGAGCGTTAGAGCTATATGCTGGTAAAATGGGTGGCCGTTGCTAATCTTTACCTAGGGTTTATGATAGAACAAACTATGATTTGTTGTTATTCTATTTAATAAACATTTCTTCCAATAAGTAGACTATTATTATCAAGACAGCTTTATGGATAGGGATACTGAGATGCAGAAAGACTAAGTATCTTACCCTGAATTATTGGTGAGTAAGTGGCATAGCAGTTAGTCACCCCTTATGCACCTGGCTTTAAAGCCCAGGCTCCCAACCCAAACACTGATATTCATTTTGATAACTGTGGACAGAAGAAGTAGAGGGGTGGAGGAGAAGACGGCCAGAACTTTGTACATGGAATGCAGTGTGAACTAAGGAAAGAGGGCTTATAAAAAGATGTCTTAATTTTTTTTCCAACTGCCAGATGGAAGCAGTATTTCATCTGCCTTGACAGGACTAGTCTATTTTCAAGATGGCAGAGGTCACAGATGGGCTGAATGGCATATTTGCAGATAAGAGATTGTAATCAAATCACAGTAAATTTTCCATTACACTCTACTTAGTAACAATGTAAAAAAGTTACACAATGCATATGAAAGAGCCAGTTAACAAGGAGAAACTAGAAAACTGAGGAAATGCTTCCTTTCTGAGGTGTTCAGGGACTTTATATAAATAAGAGGTAGCAAAACAGCAGCTCATGAGCCAAATTAGGATCTCAACTCACTGACATTGTTTTGTTTTCATTTGATTTTTACTCTGCTAGGTTTTTATTTTTGTTTTGGTTTGGGTTTGGGTTTGGGTTTTTTGATAATTACTTGTCAATATTTTTAAATGAAGATATTTACAAGTTTTTCTTGAAAAGTCCAACCTAGTCCTGCTGGGCCTGAATCCACAGGTTGAAAGTCTTGTGTCTCCAGAAGGCTCCACCATGCCCAGTTCTCTTAGATATTGCTTATACATGTCAGCATTGCTGTGGCGTGTCACCCGCCCAGCTCTCATGTAGTTCCGTGAGCTTGGACCCACCATTTGTGCCAGCTTTGAGAATATTTGTTTATGCTTACTTGAGTTCCTGAAATGAAAAAGTCATAATTTTATTTCTGAAAACATTTCTTAAAGAGACATTTGAAACAACTTAGTAAATCTAAAGAACAACAAAACAACTAACAGATTAGGTCTTGCATACCGAATTACAGCCTCTGGCCTGTTTTCATGGCTTCACCATTAATGTTTATGTATCATGGCCAGCCATTCACTTTCAGATGAGTTCTTGCTTACTCTTTTTAACTACACATTATTTTTGTTTTTCCAAAGTATCACTCTTAAGAATTGCCTTTATAGAATTAGACCTGAAGTTAGTATTGATTTTATAAAATAAAAGTTTGGTATAGAGTAATTTGTCAATAGAAGGATAGGTGGGAAAATTTGTTAAGTGCGCACTAACAAAGCTTCAACTGTTGAAGAAGAAAATGTATCTCCATAGGCTTATCTCAGGTCAGTGATTTTTAAGTGAAACTTACAACTTTTTTTTTTTTCTAAAAAGCTATGATTTAATAGACATTTTCTGGGCCAGGGCTTTTGTGGATACCATAAATTTGTGCTTTGTTTCCGTGTGAATTTTCTTTCCGACATAGATGGTAGCATCAATGTCATTTTTAAAGTAACTTCCAGAAAACGCTTTCTCTTGAAAGGCCTATAACAAAAATTACATTCTTGGGACTACTATAGTTACTGGCTGTTTGAGACTTGAACATATATCTAGTCATAAAGGGAAAATTATTACTCCTAGTAGGCATCTACTAATTTGTTGTTACAAGTTTGAAAAAATCCAACAGACTTTATCGAAATTCAATCAAACTAATTGCCTCAATATCACAGAAAGGATTCTCGGTCTAATGCACCAATGGATAAGCCAATAAAAAATACAGTAGTACTTCCACCTTTGCCAGGTTATGAGAAAAAACTGAGACATTTCCCCAACAGCAAAGGAGCAAATGGCAGAGTGATATGGAGAATTCATGGTAAATGCTAATTCAGAGGAACAGCCAATATAAATCAGCGTTTCCCGAAGTGAATTGTGAGGAAGGAATACCCAAGGATATTAAGAAATGTTATACCCACAATTTTTTTAAACCTGTGATCATGTAAGTTTGGGAAACAGTGACTCAATGAAACCAAACATTTTCCTTTGCTACAGTACTTCTGTGAGTTTTTATTACGTTACTATGTGACTATAAATGGTGAATTCCCAGGAAAGATAAGCGGCATAGAGTAATGCTTAAAAGAAGTCCAGTTTTGATAGAACATCTTGTAAGATGAGTACTCTATATAAATGATCTTATTTATTGATTAGGATTAAATTCAGTTGCAGGAGACAGAATACTAAGCTTCAGTAATAGGGATTTCTCTCTCTTACACGTAAAAAGGTTTAGAAGCAGGCTAAGCTGATATGCCATCTCCATGTAAGGACCCAAAGCTCCTTCTGGTGTTCTACTCTGTCCACCATAGAATTTGATCCACATTGTTATCATCTAATATGGCTGCTGGAGCTCCACCCATCACATCTGTATTCCAAAAATAAGACGAAAGTGAGGGTGTTGTGTCACTTTTCTTTTAAAGGAGACTTTCCAGAAGTAGATTCAACACTTCCTTTTATTTCTCATTCCTGACTGCCAGAAAGATAGGAAATGCTACCTTTCCACTACGTGGTTACGTGCACAGCTGAAAATAGAGGATCTGTTTATTTCAGAGAGAAAGGGAGAATGGATATTTTATAGGCCATAAGAATCTATGCCATATCTTAGAAATCACTAAAATAGATCTTCAAAATAATACATAAACATTTATATTTGATGTCGATACATTTAATTATTATTTACAATGGCCTTAGTTTGTTTTTTTCTAGTATTAATTTCTTAAAGCCATAATTTAAAAAAGGCGGAAGGGATAGGATGTAAGGTTGAACCACATGGGAAAAATAAGTCAGGGAAAAATAAGTCAAGGAAAAATAACCACCAGGTGCAGAGGCTCACACCTGTACTCCCAGCACTTTGGGACGCCAAAGTGGGTGGGAGGATCACTTGATCCCATGAGTTCCAGGCCAGCCTGGGCAACATAGTGAGACCTCATCTCTACACACACACATACATATACACACACACACATATACACACACACAGACACAAACACATACAAAAACTAGCCAGGTGTTGGTGGTGCATGCCTGTAGTCCCAGCTACTCTAGAGGCTGAGGTGAGAGGATTGCTTGAGCCCGGGATGTTGAGGCTGCAGTGAGCTGTGATCTCACCACTGCACTCCAGCCTCGGCAACAGAGCAAGAACCTGTCTCAAAAAGAAAAAAGAAAAGAGAAGAGAAGAGAGGAGGGGAGGGGAGGGGAGGGGAGAGAAAAGAATAACTGTGTGGATTCATGGTAGCAAGAAGCTGATCCATTGAAGTATGTGAGACAAAACCACCATTTAACACAGTCTTCATCTCCATATTAAAAATACCCTTTTAAGGCTTTCATGCATACATTTGCCTAATTATAATAGATATATCCATTCATCCATGGCTAAGGAGACATTGTCCAAATTCAGAGAATTTTCATACCATTCAATAATAAAATTAGCTCTGACTCAGCTAAGGAGAAAATCACTACCCAAATGCTTTACAAAATGAGAGGGAGGAGTTGTGAGAAAATTTTTATGCCATTCAAAATTATTCTGGAAATGTGTTGACCTCAAAATTATCTCCTATTTGGCTCAGTCTTTTGTTCTGATAGGTTCTAACCCACAACAAATTACAATATACTTTACTTATTGATACTTTCCAAACATCCAGTTAGGAAAACTGCAGTTGATTTTATATGATTTTAATGATCCCCAAAAATTTTTAGAAAACTGTTACAATTCACCGACTGCTTAGTATTGTGAAGTGATCTATATATGTTGTATATATATATACATTTATATCACTTTATCCTCATATTTTATCCCCATTTTTCAAATGGAAATTGAGGCACAGACAGGTTAAATAACTTGCTTGATGTTCACACCTAGGAAGCAGCAGGTACATGCTTTTCTTAGTTTCTGCATCCCTATGGTGTATTTCTCTAATATGAAAAGAGACTGTTCATTTATTCAGAAGTCTTTATACCTATTTGAACTCATTTCTGGAAGAGACTTTCAATATTATCTGTTCATGTATGACAAAACACAGGATGTCATATTTATTATCAAGAATAGATAAAATGCAACTTGACTCATTAAACTAACTATGGTATAAACGTGTCATGGTGTTTCCACAGCACATACATGAATACAGTTTTGAACATTCTTGGTCCTATAGGATTAAAAAATAATTTGATCATCTACAAATAATTCCAGCAAACTATAGCTACAGTATAGAGTTTAAATAGATATTACTGAATTTCACCTTGCAATCTTTGAGTGTTAGTCCTTATGGATTTTTAACAATTTATGGAACTTTCAACAATTTTAAGAAAAGAGATTGAATGCTAGTTTCAGCTGATTATATAAAAAAGTGATGATGGATAAATGGTCTTTTAAAAATCAACATCTGTTCCCTATGTATACTCTAGTTATATTTGCTTAGTTTACAATTCAGGCAAAATCTGGGCTGTTTTTAGCAAAGCCAACACATCAATGGAGGAAGACACTGAATACCATTCTGATTTTGCATATTTACTTCACTGTCCCAGTAGTCTCTATTACTGGTGATGATTCAAGTATCATTGTAGCACTGAGATAAGACCAACAGCCACATTCTTTCATCTACAGACGTTTCCCATTATAGGTGCAGCACACGCCTGGACTTGAGTCCTAAAACAAACTTCAAATACTGTCTGCATATAAAGGTTGTTGACTTCATCTCTTTGAATACTAGAAACATTGTCAGGAGACACAAGACAATAACATTCAGATGATACATAAAATATAATAAAAATATAACATTTGTATCAAAAGACACAAACGTGTTTTGCTGCAAAAGACAAAAAGAACCTATCAAATATTTTGACACTTTTCTCATAGTCTAAGCTAGTAGCAAAAGGTACAAGTTTTTGAAGCAGGGTGATCTTGATTTGACCATAGACGCTCCTTTGCTAGCTGTGTGACGTTAGGCAAATTGCTTCACCTCTTATTCCCTCAGTTTCCGGGCCTTTAAAATGAGATAATAATGGTACCTGCCTCATAAGGTATTTGCAAAAATTAAGACAGAATGCTTTTAGCAAGTGCCTAATAAGTGTTAACTATTTAACTAGTTAACTGTAAATGTGAACTATTCTTGTTACTATTAGTAACAGATAAAACGGGTATCCTCACCTGGCAAACCCAGGTTGTCTTATTGAAAGGTATCTGCTCCCTTTGTTATACATGGAACATCCTTTTAATTTAAATATGTTTAAATTCCTGGGAAAATAAATATACAGCTGACCCTTGAGCAACATAAGGATTAGGAGCACTGATCCTCTTCACAGTCAAAAATCTGCATATAACTGCCAGTAGTTTACTGTTGACAGGAAGCCTACCAGTAACATAAACAATGGATTGACACATATTTTGTTTGTTATATTAACACATATTTTGTTATATGTATTATATACTGTATTCTTACAACAAAGTAAGCTAGAAAAAATAAAATGTTATTAAGAAAACCATTAAGAAGAGAAAATATGTTTACTATTTATTAAGTGGAAGTGAATTATCATAAAGATCTTCATCCTCATTGTTTTCACACTGAGTGGCTGAAGAGGAGAAGGAAGAGAGGTGGGGCTGATCCTGCTGTCTCAGGGATAACAGAGGTGTCTGTGGAGGAGGTGGAAGTGGAGGCAGGAGAGGCAGGCACACTCGGTGTAATTTTCATTGAAAGAAATCTACATATAGACCCAGGCAGTCAAACCCGTGTCATTCAAAGGTCAACTGTATGCTCTTTTCAAAAATGTCATCTCATTTGTTAAGAAATCTGTTATCACCAGTCATCTATGAAGAGTAGTGATATAATCTGGCTCTGTCTCCCCACCCAAATCTCATCTTGAATCGTAATCCCCACGTGTTTCGGGAGGGACCTCCTGGGAGGTAGTTAGATCATGGGAGTGGGTCCCCTCATGCTGTTCTCATGACAGTGAGTGAGTTCTCGTGTGATCTGATGGTTTTATAAGGGGATCATCCCCCTTTTGCTTGGCACTTCTCCTTGCTGCTGCCATGTGAAGAAGGACGTGTTTTCTTCTTCCGCCATGACTGTAAGTTTCCTGAGGCCTTCCCAGCCATACAGAACTGTGAATCAATTAAACCTCTTTCCTTTATAAGTTACCCAGTCTTGGGTATGTCTTTATTCACAGCATGAGGAAAACTAATACAAGTAGGTTTCCAATTATGGGATATCAGACATCCCTGACACAGGTACCATTTTTATATCTGCTGTGAACCCCAAGATTCAGGCCCAAAGGACAGTGAAGCTACAGAAAAAATGAGAAAATCAGAGCTAACCTAGCTTAGGAAAAATAATACTGATGAGGAAAACTCACTTTGACTACTTTCCAGTGAGGCAGAGAAAATGAGTTGCAAAAATGAAAAATTATGCTTCATTTTGAAGTCAGGGTAATGTAGCAGATTTAATCATTGGTCTCAGAAATTAAAGAAAATCTGAAGAAAGCAATCTGGTGTTTTTTAAATTCTTCTTTAAAAAACAATTAGTTATTTGAACTAGAATTTCCATCACTCTGAAAGATCCTAAAAGTTATAAGAAAAGATAATTTCTTTTTATTCAGGGAGAACCATGTGTCTTTGCTATGTTATTGCAAATATAAGTAAAGCATTTTATTTTATCTTCCAATATTATTTGGCAGGAGCAGGCAAAACCCTAAAAAGAGGGACTTCAGCCCAGTGTTTATCACCCTCACTTTGAGAAGAAGCTGTTGCATATAATGCAATTGTCTGACAAATGAAATTGAGGTCTTTAAGGATCCCAAATTTGACCACATTTGATTAAAAATCTTCCTGAAATGTATTAAACACCCACAGCCCTTTTCAAATGGGAAATAAATAGCAACATCTGACACCTTCTTGGGGACCCAGAATCATTGTAATATACTTATGGAAGCAGCATGTGCTGTTCTCAGCAGTGGCCTAGAACTTAGTTTATAGAAAGTGTTGCAGCCATCTGCTTGCCTATTTGACTATTTGCTTCTTTTCCATAAAGCTAGCATTAAAAAGGTATAGTTTTCTTACCTTTAGAGATGACACTTTATAAAAAAGCAGTTTCTAAATGAAAGGCTTTCCTATCATCTCGTAGAACTGGGCTTCTCAAAGCTGCCAGCATCATCGCCCAGGAGCTTATTAGAGGTGAAGACTCTCAAGTCCCAACCCTGGCCCACTGAGTCAGTCTGTTATTTTAACAAAATTCCTGGGTGATTTGTGGGCATCGTGATGTTTGAGAAGTGCTGATCATCTTCTTCATTATCATCCTTACTGTCCTTTAACTTATCAGCAGAAACATGAGACAGCAGGTCCAATTCAACTCCAATAAACTCTCTTCTATTTGTATTTACACTGAATTTGTTGAAGGGGTGTAAAGGTAATGTTTCCCTGGTCAATTCCAGAAATCCTGGAAAATATTTTGGGAAAGGATTTAAAAGAAAAATGAAAAATCTATGTTTGTTTCATAAGGTAGAAAAAGAAACAGTCTGACAAATTTGAAAAAGCAGTGTATTAGGCACTGCCTGTAACTACAATGTGAGCTTGGTCTAGTCATTGTAACTTTAAGCTGTGTGCCCCTCTGGAAACCTTTAAAGTTCCTTTCAATATAATGGTCATGATGACGATGACATGCTTGTGCATGTGTAATAATCAGGCATTTTATCCAAGTCCTCATTTATATTCTTTGAACCAAATTTCAGATACAAGCAATACAATGCCCTCCCAGAGAGGGGGATTTTCATTTGTAACAAAGACTATAAAGTCATAGTAGCCAAGACTAGAATTCGGGGCTCTTGACTCAATGTTCAGACCCATAATGCTAATAAATTCTTCAGGAAATAATGTGTGAGTGAAAAATGTGCTCATACAGTCTTGGATTATGAACAGCCAACCTAAATCTTTCCAGTTGCCCATATTTTAACGTTAGTCTTCAGACACCCTAGAATTATTCAGCACATAGTGCTGACGTAGTTCATGGCACATGGCACATAGGTCATGACAAAATATTTTCATGAGATTAATTTTAAATGAAAGAAGTTTACACTTAATAGTATTATTATGGGAAATTCATCTGTCATTGTGAACATTCTAATTTATGTATTGACAGGTGTTACATGGTAACTTTTGTTTACGTCTTTGTTTTCTCTAAATCTCTCTTATAAAAAGTTAATACATTCTGTCATGAAAGTTTGGACTATTATACTTGGCGTTTGTTTTTCTGTGTTCAAATGAATTTATTTTACCCTTATGGGTTTTTTCTTTCTATTCCTTAAGGTTTTCATCGTTGTTCTTTTTCAACTTTTTAAATTTAATGATGTTTATTTTCTTTCTTTCTCTTAGTAGAGGGAAACTATCACTAAAAATTAACCTCTCAATAAAGTGTTGGTCTTATCCTATGAGATTTTATTTATAAATATATATTTTATTTCAGTATTCTCCCCATGACCAAATGAATATTTGGAGAAGTAGTTTTTAAATATGTGAAGAGTTAGAATTTCGAGTTTTATTAGAGTAAACTTAATGTCAAATTCTGTTGTAAATGTATTTTTTAAAATCTGAACTCTGCCCAATTTTGTAAAGTAAATCCAACATCTTGAAATAGTCTTGTTTTTTTCTTTTCTTTTTTTCAATGCCAACAGTTGTCAGTGATTTGGAAAATGCAATTTCTAGCCAAGCATAGTACCAGTTTTTTTGTTGCTAAATGAAAATATTATTTTTTCTTATACATTTAATAAAACTCTCTAAGTTCCAATATTATAAGACATTGCCTTTTTAAGTAGAATTTAACTGTTTTTGAATTTAAAAGAAGAAAAAAATAAATACTCTTTTACCTCTTCTGTTTATTTGTACAAAAAAATTAATCAGTTAGTGTATTCTGTTGTATAGATGACAAACTGTATCTTCAGGAAGCATGCCTGATTCACCTGTGTGTTCCTCTTCCTCTCCTCTATGCAAAAATTCAGCACAAAATCAATATTTCTCAAATTAGATTAAGTTAAAAGGAGAAGGGATAATGGAAGAAATTCCATCTTGCCTCTAAGCCATAAAAAATAATTTTTGAACCAATCTTATTTACCTTTGTTTCTATCCTTTTCGTAGTATAAAATCCTAGAACTAAATCTCAAAAGAAAGATTTGAAAAAACAAGAAGGAAGAGGATGCTATGTAATTTACTTAAAGCTTAGATGTTGTCCCACATTGGTGGAGAAGTTAGGAATTGCTCTGTGTTTTCATTTTAAAGATTTTACCTACATCATAGCTTTTATGGAGGATACATGTGATATTCTATTTAAGATATGAGTCACAGTATAAAATCTTAAAAAATACCTATTTCAGTAAATTCATTGTTCTTTAGAATTTTGAAACTTAAAATAAAATGTAGGCTGCCATAGGCAATATAAACGAAGAGACCATCAAGGATTACATCAGAAACAATGATCATGCTTGGAATATGATTTTATTCTTTAGTCCCTCTGAAAATGGATGCTTCCAGATTTACTTGTAATATTCATTTATCCATTTAGTCATTCATTCATAAAATACCTATTGAGCTCCTTTGTGCCAGAGACTATTCTGTCCACTGGTGATGTACAGTGAACAACAAAAACAACAACAACAAAAAACAATCCTTCTGAGTCTTATTCATGGTCTTCTTGCCAAAGAAATGACTAGGAACAAGAAAACACAGCATCCTAAGTGTTTTTCTCCTGAAACTACAAGTGAGAAAAGAGTATATAAAAGGAAGAAGAAATACTAATCACTAGCATTGGTATGATAAACAAATAATAAATGCTACCCAGAAAACAGAGCCTGTGAAGAGGATAAAGAGTTCTAAATGTCTTGTCTTTCATGCCTACAAAATCACATCCAGCATGAAACATGGGCTGTCTGTCACTATTATTTCCAGAGAAGAAATACACTTACAAAAGTTTTACCAATCTGTTCATTCTAAATTGCTATGGCTATTAGGAATTTCAGAAATATCTTCCTATGTGAAAATATGGAAAATGTACTTTCAGAGCTAGCATGTTTCCATCATTCTTTTAAAGCTTAATACTGAAAAAATTCAAAAGAATTCAGATAAGTGGAAGGCATTTTAAAGTTAATTGCTTCGTTTTAAAAATTGCATTGCTCAGACTCAAGAGTAAAAGCCATTTCCTAGTTTTTGTCATGTCTTTCTTTCACTGTGTATCAGATGTCACTTCATTCATAAAGTTTGCAGTGATTTAACAGCCTTATTATGCAGTTGTTTCTGGCAATGCCCTTCACTCTTGACTTTGCAAATTGAAATAGGTTTTATTGATCTACATGCATTAAGTGTTTCCGACACTCTTTACCATATTCCACCTTGCTAGCCGTTACTTAATAATGCTGACTTCAACAGAAATGATGAGTGTCCCTGTAATAAATCATGGCCTTCCAACAATGGCTTTGTAATGGTCAGGATAATCACAAAGTCATCATGCATTCCCAAAAGCATTTCTTAGCTTTTGAGCAAAAAATTATAGAGAGGGTTTCAGGTTTCTAGTTGACTCTTTTTGAGAAATGGCTTCATTGTGAAATCCATTCAGAATTTACCTAACTCAGTGTTGACACATATTTTCATTTAAACTTTAGATGAATTGCAATTTCCAAATCCACTTTCTCTCAATTAGACAAGAATTTCCTTTGCTATGTATAGACAAGGCAAACTACAACTGAGATGAATGCATTTTAATCTGATACATAAATATGTCATTTGAACCTAGTCAGCATTAGGGGATTTTACTAACAGACTTTTTTTTTCACTCATACACACAAACACACACACACATACCCAGAATGTATTGACAGGTCAGAGTCTGCTTATAGATTGATCAGTGGGTAAAATAAGGGAACAACATTTTTATTGCTCTTTTTACATTATGACTAGCATTTTTCCTCAACATTGATTATAAGCATTTTCATACATAATGAAAAGTTGGAAGAATGTTACAATCAACATCTATAAACCCACCTTTTAGAGTCAATAATTTACATTGTGATAATCTTATAATACCACATATCTGTCCCTCTGTCCATCTAAAAATCCATCATATTTATTTGATGCATTTCAAACTTGGTTGTAGACATCTATATGCTTTCACCTAAATACTTTAGCAGGCATATCAATGTAACAAATTTTTATGTTTTTGTGTTTCTTAGCAGTTTCTCAGGAGGGATCGTTCCAGGTGATCTTAAATTTTGTAAGCTATTTAAAATTCTGGTCTAGTTGTACTTGTCCCTGCAAAAATCTAACATTCTCCATTACCTCTTTGGCTTCATCCACTGCTTCCTTGAGCCTGGTGCTAACTGTCCTATCTCTATGTTCACATCTCTATCCCTTTCCCTCCACCACACCAACTTATTTGTACAACCATGAATCAGTAAGAGTTCTCGAACCCAACTCGCTCATAGCTGTGTAGTATAGAAGGTGATAAGGTTTGGCTTTGTGTCCCCACCCAAATCTCATGTTGAATTGTGATCCTGAGTGTTGGAGGTGGGGCCTAGTGGGAGGTGATTGGATCACGGGGGTGGTTTCTAATGGTTTAGCGCCGTCCCCCTAGTGCTGTCTCATGAGTGAGTTCTCACGAAATCTGATTGTTTAAAAGTGGGTAGCACTTCCCTTTTCATGCTCTCTCTCTCTCCTGCTGGCCATGTGAATATGTGTTTGCTTCCCTTTCGTCTTTCTCCATGATTTTAAGTTTCCTGAGGCCTTTCCAACCATGCTTCCCGTGCAGCCTGCAGAATTGTGAACCAATTAAACCTCTTTTCTCTATAAATTACCCAGTCTTGGGTAGTTCTTTATTACAATGTGAGAATGGACTAATACAGATGGTATGAGATCGCTACCAGGAAGACAATTAAAAGCCATGGATGATTACAGACCATGAAAGGGAGGGTGAGTTGAGAAAGTGCCCAGCACAATGTCTGACACGTAAATGATTCTTGATAAACATTTATGGCATGAAGGAGGTAAACAGAGAGAAGAGGAGGGAGGAAATGGAAAGGAGTTAGAGAGGGGCATCACTAGCTAGGATAGTGCATGAAGGCTTCTTAGAAGAGCTAACATTTACTTGAGTGGGATTTTGCAAAGAAGGTAGGTAAAACTCATCTCAACAGAAAATTGTAAGCAAGCCCTCAAATGAACAATATTCTCTGTAGCACATTAATAGTAATTAATCACCTGCTAAATTAAAAGAAGAGATGGCCAGTGAATACTTGTATTCTTTGAGCAGAAACTTGACTGGAGAAAGCTTCCTGAAAACAAGCAGCATTCAAGAGTCTCTTTAAAACTTGAATGATTGCTTAGGAGGCTGTTTGATGGCCTTGAAACTGAGATAAAAACCAGGAGGGTAGAAATGAGTGAGTGGCAACTTTTAGGTATACAGAAAGTTGCTAAAGCAAAAAACATAGACACATAACTTTCAGCCACCGATCTCAATATTTATAAGGGAAATGATAATGTCTCAACACATGCCCCATAGGGAAAGAGCCAGAATAGAAATATTTTTGACACTTCCATTTGGAACCAGAATCTCTCATATTTACTATCTAAAACTAAGGAGCCTTTCCCAAGTTAGTTTATTATGATACTACCACGAATAAGTTAAATATTAATCTGTTCCCTAAAGATAAGTTTTATTGCTTTGAAGGATGAAAAAAATATGAAATAATCACTTTGTGTGAGGTGTGTCTGTGTTTGTGTGTGTGTGAAGTAAAAATCAAGTTAGGAATAAAACATCTTTTTAAAGTTTATCTTATAATTCCAAACGAATCCCTGGAAACTGAACTACTGTGTGCCATTTGTTTTTGTTGAAATGGTTGTTAAATTATTCTGATTATTTAGCGATGCCAGAGGCTCTCTTAGAGTAATTTGATATATCACTCGGTGTCTTTGTTTCACCTCAGCTAGGTCCAGAAAGAGACCTGGAAGGGAGGTGGATAATCATAATAAATGAAAGCCAGCCTTTCTAGTTTAGTTATGCACAAAGGTTAAAATAATTTGTTAGCCAACAAAGTGTTTGTGCAATTACCATAGGTCTTTAATCATGTTTTGCCACTATTGCCACCTGTCTGAAATCTTAGACATCTTATGTTCTGTTATAACATTATTTGAAGTTGCCCCGAACATTATCTTATGTGATCCCTCAGAAAAAGGGGGAATTAATTGACATATATTATTGATATATATTATTAATTAAAATAGTTCATACTTTAATAACATGGCTATAAATGTGTATGTGGTTCCTACTGTGTCTCATCATAATTCTCATTGGTTACCAAAGAGCAAGATGACTTCACTTAATTCACTTAATGATGCACTAATTAGAAAGGAAGAACACTTCAACAATTAAATCCATTGACCAGTTTTCAATAGCTCTCCCACGCTGGCATCCTTGCTGCGATTTCACAATATTGCAGAACCAAGTGACATTGTTCTTTAATCATACACATGAATGCATTCACTCTAAGTATATGTTGAGTCATCCCTTTCCTTCTCCACCCTTCCCCCTTTAGAGCTCGGTTTTAGCTTTTATTGTCACTTGAATCAAATCAAAGAACAGCAGAAAAGAATAACATGAGGAATGTAAGTATCGTAGTTGGAGTCTGACTACCTGAAATCAGACTATCTAGATTCCTGTTTTGGTTTTTCCTCTAACTACCTGTGAAACCTGAAGCAAGTGTCTTAACCTTTATGTGCCATAGTATTTTCATTTGGAAAAAAAAAAAAAAAGAGAATAATTGTACTTGCCTCTTACAATTTGGGTTTTTTGCGTTTGTTTGGTTTTTTAAGGTAGAATTTATATAACGTAAAATTAGTCACGAATCATTTTAAAGTGTACACAATTCAGTGGCATTTAATTCATTCAGTGTTGGTACCTGTCATCTCTTTCTAGTTTCACAGCATTCTCATCACCCTAGAGGAAGCCCTGCATCCATTAAGCAGTGACTCCCCATTTGTTCCTAGAGCCCCTCCCCCAGCAGCTACCAGTCTGTTTTCTGTGTCTATGGATTTGCATATAGTGGATATTTTATATAAATAGAATTGTATAGTATGTGACCATTGGTGTCTAGCTTCTTTTGCTTAGCAGAACGTTTTTGAGATCCATCCACCTTGTACCACGTGTTCCATTTTATGGCTGCCTAATCATCCATTGGATGCAAATACCACATTTTTATCCATTCATCAGTTGATGGAAATTTGAGTTGCTTCCACCTTTTGGCCATTATAAATAAGGCTGCTATGAACATTTATGTACAAGTTTCAGGTAGACATATGTTTTCATTTCTTCTGGGCATATACCTAGTAATGGAATTACTGGGTCATGTGGTAATTCTACGTTTAACCATTAAAATAATTTATGGACTGTTTTCTAAGATGGCTGTAACATTTTACATTCTCCCAGCGGTGTATGAGAGTTTGTTTTTTCACATCCTCACTAATACTTGTTATGTTCTTTTTTGTTTGTTTCTATTTGGTTTTTATTTTGGCCAACCTGTTGGCCATAAAGTGGTATCTCACTGTGGTTTTTGACTTCCATTTTCCTAATAACAAATGAAGTTGAGCATCTTTTTATGGATTTGTTGGCCTGTTTTTTTTGTTGTTGTTGTTGTTGTTTTTTTTTTTTGTTTTTTTTTTTGAGGTGGAGTCTCACTCTGTTGCCCAGGCTGGAGTGCAGTGGCACAATTTCTGCTCACTGCAAACTCCGCCTCCCGGGTTCAAGCCTCAGCCTCCCAGGTAGCTGGGATTACAGGCATGCACTACGATGCTCAGCTAATTTTTAGTATTTTTAGTAGAGATGGGGTTTCACCATGATGGCCAAGCTGGTTTCAAACTCCTGACCTCAAGTGATCCGCCTGCCTCAGCCTCCCAAATTGCTAGGATTACAGGCGTGAGCCACCACTCCCAGCCATACTGTTTTTTAAATAAAGATTTATTGAAAAATAAGTTGTATTTATGTAGTGCATGCCGTATATCAGGCATTGTTCTAAATTATATATAAGTTCTAAGTGTTTTATATATATATATATATATATATATATATATAGTCATTTAATCTCAAAATAAGTATAGTATTATTATACGTAAAGCATGTGGACCAGTACTTTGCAAACAGTAAACCAAAGAGAACAAGCATGTCCCCAGGTGAACTCTAAAAGACCTTCAGGAATACTCTGAAACCAAGCCTCCAACAATGCAGACTGCAGTGTGTAGCCCAGAGAACCCGACAGTCGGCTGGTTGAAAGGAAGCACCCATTCTCTAAATTGTATGCAGCCACACAGAAAAGAAAGCAGCCTAAAAAATTGGCAGATGATTAGAATTTCTCAGGGAGTTGGAGCTGAACACTAAACTCAAATCAGAGCATCTCTATTCCAATGTCAGCTCTTCATTTACTAGGTCTGTGACCTTAGGCAATTCACTTAATTACATAAACAAGTCTGATATTGCATTTATAAAATGAAACCATAATAATCTTTATGAAAATTCACTGTAAGCTATAAAAGTACTATACAAAAACATTATTACTAAATGTATGAATACCCACATTTCTGCATTTAACAGCAAACATGGTATAAAAGCATACATGCATTTTAAAATTAAAATTATTATAGATATGCTTATCTATTAATTATTTCTAAATATACATGTACAGGCTGAGTATCTTTTCCCTGAAATGCCTGGGACCAGAAGAGTTTCAGGTTTCAGACTTTTTAGGATTTTGGAACATTTGCACATACATCAGGAGATATCTTAGGGGTGTGACCCAAGTGTACACATGAAATTTATGTTGCAGACACACCTTATACACATAGCCTGAATGTAATTTCATGCAGTGTTTTAAATAATTTTCTGCATGAGGCAGAGTTTGTGTTAAGTACTTATGTGTCAAATTTTCCCCTTGTGGTGTCGTGTCATGTCAACACTCCAAAAATGTCAGATTTTGGAGCATTTCAGATTAGGGATGCTCAACCTGTAGCAAGTGATAGGGTAGAATTGATAAATCAGTCTGTGTAGCTGAAATTCTTAGTGCCAAATATACCAGTAGTTTAGTTCATCAAAAAATCTGAAGCATTTTAAATACCCTTTAATCCCTATCAGTTGTAGTCATTATATCTATTTTTTTCTTACAATAACTTTGAGGACTATTCTTATTATTTGTATTTAGAGGGTAAAAAAATTAAAGACCAAAGAAATGTAATCTCCAATACCTTACAAGTCACTTAGCAGGAGGAACTAGGACTCAAAATTAGAGACTTGTTTTTCTTTCTATCAGTAACCTCTATTATTAACATTCAATTATATTCTATTGAGTGTATTCTCTGAGCCAGGCATCCTGTTAGACCCTAGGGATTTGATGTTGTGCAAAAACAAGCTATGAAGCTTATAAAGGAAAAGAGAAATATTAGTCTAATAATCACATAAATAAACATAAAAATCACAATTTGAGAAACTTCTGTGAAGGCAAGTGTTTTGGTGATATGAGAGCTTATAATGGGACATTGACCCAGATGGGGGATCAGGAAAGGTTTTTCTAAGAAGTGATGATGGAGTTGAGATATGAAGGATAATTGTGTATTAACTAGCAAAAATGGACAAAAAGAACATTCCAGGGAGAGGAAATAGTACAAGCAGACGATATGGTAAAAAAGAAACATGACCAGCATTAGGGACTGAAAGATGATTGAGGCATTAGAATGCAAGAATGGTGCAGAGAAAGGTTCCAGAGGAGACTGGAGAGGTAGCGAGAGTCAACTCATGCAGGGTCACACAGAGCCATGTAATAATTGTCCATGGGACCAAGTTGGGCAAGGTTGGGGCAAGAGAAGTTGTGTGATGTGTTTAAGATCACACAGACTCGTTCGTTATTTTTTCGTAGAGTACTTCACTGAGTTTCCAAGAGGTGAAAGGCTATCTCTAAGGCCTTTGGAAATTTCCCTGATAAATTTAGATCAGTATCTTCTAATCCAGGGTTCCATTTTGTTTTAGTTCTAGGCTTTCTTAGTTCAAGCAATTTTAGTAATTGATTAAGCTTATCAAATAATAAGAAAACTGACTAAATACCATTTAATAGAAAGAAAACAATGGTTTTTGAAGAGATAAACAAATTTGCAGATGAAAAATGAAATTTTCCCAAAGCAACCTGTCTTCTGAGGCTGTCTGTGCAGTTTGTACTAGAGCCACCAAAAAAACACAAAAGAACAGCTTCTACCTCTGGTTTCCAAAAATTAGGGGAATGTCATGATATGCTTCAGACTACAGCCTCTCAATATAAAAGGGTTTGCTTGTTTTAACTAAGGCTGCAAAATTAGGGAAGAGGTTGCAAAACCTTCTGAAGTCTATGTAATTCCCTCATGGTTTTTGTATTTTCTATTCTGCAAACACAAGAGGAAGTTTACTACGTTTCTCAATGATTACACAGACTTGTAGAAAACACCACTATTACACTAGTCTGTTTCCCTGTTAGAAGGAAGTCTAGTTTATTGGAAAGGAAGCTATGTCAGAAAATTGAAGCATCCCTGCAGCTTAACTTCTTGAACAATCATCATCCTTTGACTTCATTTACAGATTAAAACAAAGAAAAACACTCCTAAGTAGAGGTTTATGTTCAAAGTAATCAGTGCAGTCAAAACTACACCTTAGAAGTCATTACATGACAATTCCAATGACATTACATTATTTTAAATTTCTTCTTTGCCAAGTCACAAAGGGCAGTAGAACATGAAAAAAAAAGATTGAAATTAAAAATAGCACTTAGAGGTCAAGATTTTCAGGTAGAGTGTGTTTGAACATGTAAGCAAATAATTAAATGTACTGTTTTGATAGTTATTGATTTGATTTCTTTAAGTACCTATTATTTAGTAACATGTTTGAAAATAAATATGACTAAGACTCCCAGTCTGCTTCATAAAGCAGAAAGCAAAACAAGGAGATCATAGGCTCTGAATCACCTAAAATACAGCCTATATTTACAGAAACTCCTTTTCATTTGGTCTGTACATCTCCATTTGATCTATACTGGTCAAAGCTTGTACTTCGGTGAAATCAAAGAACACTTTAGAGAAACAATTACAGTAGTTTTCTAATTTATTTTTGGCCTTGTCATTCTAAAAGGGAAGCTTGAGATGAAAGATATACAGACAATTTTCACTCTAACCTTTGTATCATTAATGTGGATGTCAGATTACAGAATCTGTTTCCTTAAATAAATGTGGTTTAAGCCTGAGGATATCAGGAGGAGTTTTTGCCCATAAGGAGTTTCTAGTCTAGTTGTGAGCAGCAGGAGGCTGATAAAGGACGGAGCCAAAACTCAAACCCAGGCCTGTTTAGCTCCAAGCTCTCTATTCCTAATGGGTAACTCATATTGCCTCTTATTATTTAGGTTCTTAAGTTGCAAGAAAGAGACACCCTGAATATAAACTTAGGCCTTGCTACCATAAAGGTAGCAACCGCCTTCAAAGGATGGGACAATGGTTTGTTTTTATTCTGGTAATGGCAGCAGTTCCAGAGTTTCCAAGGACTCTGTACCAACAGTGACGCAGCCGTCACCTTAGGGTGCCCTGAATAGCCAGGGCCACTTTCTCTCTGCTCCATCGGTGTGGGCAGCTCAGACTCACAATGCCCAAGAGAGCACATAAGGTTCTGTGTCACTTTGCCATATGAGCTGCCTTACTGGCCAGAACCTTACCTTAGTCCAGCCCCTCAATGGTCATCCCATGGAAGGAATCCTATCTAATCAGCAGACACCAGGGTAACAGATAGAAAGGCCATCAGGGCTGGTTCCTCAGGGTCAGGCCATGAGAGGCACCAGGCTTAGAAGATTCCCAAGAGGAATTCTACCAAATCTTTTCTGAATGGATAATCCCAGTGCTGTTAAAATTGCTCCAGGTGCAGAAAAAGAAAGAAGGTGGGGGGAAGAGAAAGAAACAAAGAAGAAAGGGAGGGAAGGGGAGTAGACAGTGGCATAATTCTTTAACAAAGCAAACATACAATGTTATAAAACTCACCTAAGAAAGAAAACTACCAAACTCTTTGGTTTTTAAAAAGGAATTGACCAATCCTAAGTATAACAGTAACAGACACGATGCAACAGCACATTAGAAGGAAACACACCACAACTAAGTAGAGGTTATTCCAGGAATGTAAGGATGGTTTGCCAATGTGAAACTTATTAATAAAATTCAATGTACTAAAAGACCTTAGAAGAAAAATAATATGATCTTCTCCATAGGTGCTGAAAAGTATTTGATAAAATTCAGTCCGTTCTTGATTTAAGAAAAAAAAAAAAAAACTCAGTTGGGTGAGATGGCACATGCCTGTCATCCCAGCTACTTAGGAGGCCGAGGAAAGAGGCTAGTCCAGGAGGCAACATAGCGAGACCCTGCCCCCCCACCAAAAAAACTCTGAAAGGTATATGTATAGGCCGGGCATGGTGGCTCATGCCTGTAATCCCAGCACTTTGGGAGGCTGAGGCGGGCAGATCACCCGAGGTCGAGAGTTTGAGACCAGCCCAACCAACATGGAGAAACCCCGTCTCTATTAAAAATACAAAAATTAGCCAGGCGTGGTGGCACACGCCTGTAATCCAAGCTACTAGGGAGGCTGAGGCAGGAGAATCGCTTGAATCTGGGAGGCGGAGGTTGCGGTGAGCCGAGATCGTGCCATTGCACTCCAGCCTGGGCAACAAGAGCGAAACTCCGTCTCAAAACAGAAAATACACACACACACACACACACACACACGCACACACACACACATATACATATATACATATATATGTATGTATAGAAATTTAACATTTTAACCCTCAAACTAGCATCGGGCCTAAAGGGGAGTGACTAGAAACCTTTTCATTAAATCGGGAATAAGACAGGGACAACTACTATCCTCATTATTACTAAAATTTTTCTGAAGGTGCTGCAACCAACCAGACAAGAATCTAGAAAAATGGAAGATTTTTCCTTTGATTCTCTACCTATAGAATCGTGTGTAAATTAAACTATTTTGAGATATCACTTTTTACCTATTGAGTTAGGAGAAGACTAACAGGCATGGTGACACATTAATGTTGTCAAGAGAGAAGAACCTGATGCTGTCACATGAGGCTGCTGGGAGTGAAAATTTATATGTCTTCTAGGGTGGAGAAGGTGACAACATCTATCACACTTATAAATGCACACACCCTCCCTCCATCGAGTTATGAGCATTACATGTGTACAGAATGAAGGCTGTACCTCGCGGCATTGTATGTAATAGTAGAAAATGGAACCCACTTAAATAACTGCCCATTGACTAAATTATAGTCCATTCACACCACGGCATGTAATGCAGTCCAAAGAGAAGGAGGAATCTCCTTGTAAAGGAACATGGAATCTCCTCTGTGATATATTGTTATGGGAGAAAAGCAAGATGGAGAACTACATGTATAGGATACTCCTGTTTGTGTACAGCACACTCCATCTGTGTATAAAGAAGACCATGGGATACATCAACATGTATATGCATAAAAGGAATCTTAAGACATTGGTTGTCTGTGGGGCATCCAGGGTATAAGGATGTCAGACAAACATTTTTATGTCTAGCTTTTGAATTTTGAACCATAAGAATGTGTTACATTTTCAGTAAATCTATAAATAATATGTAAATTCAGGAAAGGAGGAGGAAACAAAGGAGGACAGGGAATATGGCAGGAATTTGAAATTCAGTGGCTGATCCAGTCCAGTTAGCAAGAGGGGCCCTGTCAGAAGCAGAGAGGGACAATGGCACTATTCCAAGAGGTGGGAACACCAGAGCACATGGCAGAGCTGAAAAAGTGGAGGAGGGGATGTTCAGGGGTCAACAGGAACTCAAGTCTGATCAGAAAGAGAGCAGACCAAGAATCAAGGGTAGCAATATTGGGACAGCATTTCACAGGACATTTGGACCAGGCTTGAGGGAGCTGCGTTTTAAGAAGTGACATGATCAAAACTGCTCTACTCAGAGCCTATCCTGTTACTTATGGGAAGAATAAATGTAAAGGAAAAGGTACCACATGTTAGCTCCTTGAATACAGAGAGTTGGTCTGGTTGTCCTTGCAGCCTCTGTGCTCAGAGAAGTGCCCAGGACAGAGTAGGGAGGGGTGCGGGTGCAGGCAGGGAAAGAGCACTTGCCTCCCACAAGGGTCTATTTTCAGGGTGTTCCATGGAGGACCTGATTTAATCCTGGCAACAGCTGTATGATGGGGGCTTTTACTATTGTCCCTATTTTACGGATGGGAAAACGCGAGGCTTGGAGTGATTAAAAAGCTTGCCCAGGCCGGGCACGGTGGCTCACGCCTGCAATCTCAGCACTTTGGGAGGCCGGGGCGGGCGGATCACAAGATCAGGAGATCCAGACCATCCTGGCTAACACGGTGAAACCCCGTCTCTACTAAAAATACAAAAAATTAGCCGGGCGTGGTGGCGGGCACCTGTAGTCCCAGCTACTCGGGAGGCTGAGGCAGGAGAATGGCGTGAACCCGGGAGGCGGAGCTTGCAGTGAGCTGAGATCGGAGCTTGCAGTGAGCCGAGATCCCCCCACTGCACTCCAGCCTGGGCGACAGAGCAAGACCCTGTCTCAAAAACAAAAAAAAAAAAGCTTGCCCAAAACTACAGCCAGTAAGAGGTGGATCCTAGATTCACCAGACACACAGCTGTAGAGCCCATGCTCTTAAAGAACATTCGGCTCTGTTTTTAAATACCTTTGTAAACTAGGATTGTAGCCATGGAAATCAACAGGAGATCAAGGATTCAGAAGAAAGAAATACAACAGCGCATGAAGGCAGGCGATATTACTGTCACATCTTTATATTGGTTGTTATATTAGGTAATGAATGTGAAAATGCTTTAAGGAGAAAGAAATATTTTCATGTATTCCTTTATTCATTCAGCCAATGTTATGAATCACTGTGTGCAAGGAAATTCACTGGACTGGGCATAGGAGGAATAAAATACTAGCTCTTCTTTTTAAAATTGCCTATAAAAGTAGTAAATACCATTTATTATGCACCTGGGATTACTAAACTCTGACTTGGGATGTTGCATACTCATGCCATTAGATCCCAACAACCATCTGATAAAATAGATACCACGATGCACAATTCACATGGCAGAATGGATATTTATCCATGAAAACCACTGTTTCAAAGGTCTTAACAGCCAGGCTAGTGCGTGGTAGAACCACACTCCAACCTGCATCTGTCTGACTCTTCAGGGGCACCGGGTTGCCAGCTGCACTTCAGAGCCAAGCTTGGGGAAGGAATGTTTGCCCAGACAGCCATCTTCTTTAGGCCAGAGCTCAAACCCTAAAGCCTCAAGCAGACATCCATAATCTGGAGAGACATTTCTCAAAACCAAGTAGAATTATAAAATAATTAAATAGAATATAAATTATTTTCCCTTATAGGGAGTGTTGATTTTAAATGAAGATTGTGCTGAGGACGGCGAAGCTTGTACATACAAAACCAGTGTTCTGTGGGTATATGATATTGTTCTGCTTATTTGAAAACTGAATCAGATTGTAAGATATAGGAGTGTGCCCACTAGGAATAGGGCATTTTCTAAGTGACTTCGAAAGTCATGTATGGGCTGGGCCCGGTGGCTCACGCCTGTAATCCCAGCACTTTGGGAAGCCGCGGCGGGCAGATCATTTGAGGTCAGGAATTCGAGACCAGCCTGGCCAACATGGTGAAACCCTGTCTACTAAAAATACAAAAATTAGCCAGGCATGGTGGCACACACCTGTAATCCCAGCTACTTGGGAGGCTGAGGCAGGATAATTGTTTGAACCCAGGAAGCAGAGGTTGCAGTGAGCTGAGATCACACCACCGCATTCCAGCCTGGGTGACAGAGTGAGACTCTGTCTCAAAAAAAAAAAAAAGTCGTGTCCAGGTATATGATGAGATGGCGGAACTTAACATCGTACCTAGAAAAATACAAGGTATTCTTATAGCTCTGGCTATAACCATTTCTGTTGGGGCCCAGAGACAACACAGCGCCTCCTAGTTTACCTTCCATCTCCCCTCCAAAGGCAGCCTTGGACTGAGTATGTAACTGGCAACAACCCCAGTCCCCGGAAGTGACAGGCACCAGATTTCTCCTGATGATCAGTATCAGTGTTGTTTCACATACGCTTCGGAGGAGCCTGCCCTCATTTGTCCTGTGTTTAGCCAGTCACAGGCAAGCCAAGGAGGAGCATAAAACGGGACCAAAGCCCACTGCAAGTGTGCCCGTGGCACCCAGCACCAAACACTTAATTATTGCTCCCTCCTTGAATCGCACACACTGTAAAGAAAGAAAGGCGAAACTCTGAAGTCATTCACAGGAAGGTACTATTGTGTGGGTGAGACATTAATGCTCAGCAACACCCTTGGGTGCTTTCAGAGAACAGAAGGGAACTCCTGCGGCGTGATGCCGTGAGTGGCCTCTCGTGACCTTCGGTGACAATGCTGCATCAGGGTACTCTAGTACAAATCTCCACTGGGCATGTTGATTTTACAGCTGTCACTAAATAGCACATTTACTCGTTCACATGGTGTAGCTGGACTGCCACCCAGGGACCACACAGAGGTCCTTTTCCCGTGGTTCTCATTCCTTCTTTCTCCCTCTCTTTTTTCCCTTCTCTCAGTCTCTAAGTGGCTCTCCTGACCTTTGATGATGACTGAGACAGATACAGATATCTCAAAATAAGTAGCCCCAGGCAAAGACCACTACTATAAACTTTAAGCTGTTTCTCTCACCCAGAGCTTCAAGCCCATCCGCCAGCCCTGGCTAGGGAGTTCTCAAATCTGTTCTCAAGCCATGCTAGGTAGTCACATCCCCCTTCAGCTCCCGTCCTGCCCAGCTGAATAAAGAAGACACAGTGCTTCTCTCCCACTACATTCAGCCATAAATCAGCGAAAGGACCCTGATCCTTCAGTCCAATCTCAAACCTGCCTGAGAAGCACATGAATTAATGAAAGAATGATGAATTCTGAGAATGAGAACGGAGCCTTGGCTTGTAGTAGGCACTGCTTTCATTAACTGACCATGTAACTTTCATGTCTTTGAGCCCCGGTTTCAAGATTGATAAAATATGGATAATAGTCTGCTTCACGTGAAATAAATACAGCTGTGAAATAGCTTTTTAAGCCTCAAGGTCAAGGTCCTTACAAGGAGAGCCTGGGGTGGGGATTCCTGTACCAGTGAATACTGGGAGTGTACTCTTAGGAGCTGAGTAAGATGAAGGTTGGCTGCAGCCTAGCTTTCTGCCTGACGCCTAGAAACCCTGCACCCCAAACTGCATGCCAGAGTTTGCCCCACGCTGAAACAGGGACCTAGGGGAGCAGCTGTGAGTTCCCAGCCCCAAAACAGCAGGTGAAGGTGGGGAGCGCACCTGGGCAGGACACCCAGCAGCGTGCACTAAAAGGAACCATATGGTACAAACTGAAGGCATCAGGAGTTCTTGGAGGAAGACAGAGTCAAGAATTAGGATCCACTTGAGCCCTAAAATGATGAAGGAAGGCAAGTCAAAGCCCTGAGAACAATCCAAGAATGGTTTCCCACTTCCAGCTTTAATCTCTCCATCTGAAAAGAACCCATAGTCAAAGAACAGCCTTGTAAGCTTGGAACATAGTAGTCAGGCAATTAGGTGGACATTGAATTTGTTCACCCTGTGGCCTACAGCTTCCCTGGTGGAGGTAAGCCTTAAAGTGGTCTCTGCCTGGGCTACAGAATCAGCCACAGGAGTCAAAGTCCCCTGTGGCGTGGCCCAGCCTGGAGTCACAGATCACACCCTCTGGAATGAGCACATCCCCAGCCCTCAGCCATGGATCCCCAAGACTTCCTTTCTTCCTCTGACCCCCCCAGAGCTTATAATGTGTACTTATTACTGTATTAATTGCCCCTGATTAAGTATTATCTTTTTATGTGCATATGTCTTTATTTGCCCAAAATGTGAACTCCTGTAGGGAGAAGCTGCGTCTAAATTTCTTTTTATGCCTGGTTCTTCGTGGGTGTTTGGTAAATACTTATCGATGGAGTATTCATTTGACTGATAGAGTGGCATAGAGTGGCAGGGGTTTCAGGCACTGGGGAAAGAAGAATCTACAAAGGGAGTGATCATTTGGAGTTACTTTCAACTCATTGATATGTGGTTTGGGGTACACTGTCTTCTCTCCCAAACAGGTCATTTTGTGTTTGTTGTTTCTACTGTATTATGTCCTTTATGTTTGGGGACCGTTCTGCAATTCTTATGAGTCATTCCTGGGTCCTTGAAGCTAAATAAGGTTAAGGCACATTCTTTGAGGTGCCCCTGGGAAGGTTCCTAGTGTGTAAATGGCACAGTCTCTGCACACAAGGAGTTTATTATCTAAAGAGGGAAAGAATAGGCATTTTATGCAATGCTGACAAGGAAACAGAGCAAGTCACATCTCTGTAGGGTCACACAGGGAAGTTAAGAGAGGCAGAAGGCAAGCGCTGAGCCAGCCTGTCCATCTCCCCAGGTGGGTAACAGTTGTCCAGATAAGTAGAAATAACCCTTCCAGGCAGCGAGGACAGATGAAACCTTGTCTGTTAGTTTCCTGTGCAGGCCTTCAATTAAGTCATACGATAAGGATTAATGTTTGTTGAGTGTTAGCGACATGCCAGACATTCAACCCACCCCTTCCCGGGAGCGCTAGACAGGCCAGCAATCCAGACATCAAATGGATCTGCTGACAAGGTGGCTCAGTCTCACAGGTGAGCAGTTCAGAGCTTTGTGGGTTGGTTTTATTGTTCATTCCTTTGTTCTTTGGGTATTTTCCCCCAAAACTTCACCTGGTGTTCTGTGAAGGAAACAAAAGTACCTCCTCTATGTTCCGTGCTGGGCATTCACTCTGAGGTTATGCTTGTATTCATGGAATAGCTGAGGCTCTCGTTAGCCACCTTCCTTCATATTAAAATCTGTCAAAAACAGAAGTGCTCTAAGGAGATCATGCTTTTCAAACATTCTCACTGGTGTATTAAATAGGTGAGTGATCACAGGTGCTGGGTGTGTTTATCCTCTTTTTGACTCAAATGACATTCATTAGTTTTCGCCTAAGGCATACCTGAAAGCCAGATTCACTTCAAACTAGCAGGGATTAAAAAAACGATAAACTACAGAGGCGATTTTGTGCTTTACTTCTCCTGGCGTCACCCAGACTGGCGGGGACGTGCTGCTCTTCCTGACCCATCCCAACAGTGTCCTCGCTTTGAGACGTGTTCCCTGCGGGCTCTGTGAGTTAGGGTTGTGGAATCACTCCAAACTAGCGACAGAAGACGTTCAAGAAAAGTAGACAGTTGGGCTCATACTAGAATGTATTTAAATATATAATGTTATCTAGAAAGAGGATTTCTTAGGTTGCAAGATGGCAGGATGCACTATATCCTGTGTATAGGGTATAGGGTATAGGATTGCCATATTATTATTATATTATTTTTTGAGATGGAGTCTCGCTCTGTTGCGAGGCTGGAATAGAGTGGTGCGATTTCGGCTCACTGCAACCTCTGCTTCCTGGGTTCAAGTGATTCTGCTGCCTCAGCCTCCTGAGTAGCTGGGACTACAGGCATGCGCCAGCATGCCCAGCTAATTTTTGTATTTTTAGTAGAGACGAGGTTTCACTGTGTTGGCCAGGATGATCTCGATCTCTTGACGTTGTCATCTGCCCGCCTCAGCCTCCCAAAGTGCTGGGATTACAGGCATGAGCCACCACCCCTGGCTGCCATATTATTTTCTATGTCTTATGTACAGTTTCAATGGAAATAAGTACCATAGTAAACGTCAGTCATAACACATGATGAGTGACCTGTTTCTTCTTCCCTCTGTTTTTTTGTTAGTTCATTTGCAATATGTCTCTGTCGTCATATTTTGTATAGGTACATGCAGTTTACATGATATGGTTCCCTGAGCTACCCAACCTAAAAAGGATTTTGGAGTGCTAATGATTACTGCCTTAGACCTGATAAAAATCTCTTAACCTGGGATAGTTTCTCCTTTCCTCGTAAGGAAAAGCTGACATTCCCAAAGAGTAGCCAAATACGAGAGGCGCACTGAAATTTTTAGCTGGGGTTCAAGAATGAAAAAAGTTCTTCCACCACAAACATGCCCAATTTACACACAGCCTCTCTACTTCTCAGTAATTTAGACAGTTGTGTTGATTGAATTCTGGAAATAGAAATGAAAAATAATTGGCCCGTCATTGTTCGAATAAACTTTGTAAGAAAGCTAACACACCTCACCCCACACTAGCCACTGGTCTCTTGGGGATCTGCAGGTGAAAGGTAGGTGAGGCCTGTGTCACCAGCCCTCTCTGACTTGGAGCTGTTTGTTAAACACAAGGCCAAGGCAAGACTTGTGTGTTTAGAAAGATGGCAGTGTGGTGTGAGCAAAATATAAATTCTTTGTAAGTCAGAAGATCTCACCTTGGTCACATTGCTACCTTTTTAGTTTTAGACTGAAACCCGAAAGGCCTTAGTTTTCATCTCTATAAAATGAGGTGATGAACTTTAATATCCCAGAGCTATCTTTCAGCTCAGACCTTCTGTGACCAATCGTAGCAGCAATTATACCCAACAGACCTGTGGACCTGGTCTAGACCAGAAAGAGGAGTAGCTATCCTGAAAAGTAGGACTCCTCCCAAAGAGAACTAAACACCCACCTTGTGTGGGACGGCCCCAACCCGAAATCAGCACCACAGAAGAGCAACTGAGCAAAATTATCTATCCAGAACATCTGAGAAATGACAGGATACAACACAAATCCTTCCCTGAGGCAGGCTTCCTTAAGCCTTATTCATCTGCAGTCTACTTTTATAGGGAAAAACAAAATAAGGGTAAACATTATACTTATGAAAATGTCCAAATATCAGCAGGAAGTAGAAAAATCCGAATGTAACATTCTGACAGCCTGCAGTCAAGTGAGACTGCAGAGTATTTTTAGCATTATGGATATGTTTTTTCAAGTAATATACATGCTGTGATAGATGTCATGAACAGACCTCAAAAATCAGCAGGCTCTCAATCCCTCAGAGCATAAAGCCACCTGCACAAAAAAACAGTGTTTTAGTCTGAGTTTCTCTTGTTCAGCTGAAAAGTTTGGCAGAACAGCCCTCCAGTTTGTATTTTTTTTTTCTTCCTAAATTGCATGCAGAATCCAGGACCAGAAGAAGTTGTCTCTCGAGTGTACTTTTGAAATGACCCCAATACAGAAATTGCTAGGGAAGCACAGCTATTCATGGGATCCCCAAGTCATTTTGCAAATCATGACTGTGCCAGTGTGTACAGTTGGGATGTAGTGTGTCTATCTGAACACACCCAGGGCATTTATCATGTACTGTGTCTATCTGAACACATCCAGGGTATTCAAACAGACTGAGTTCATAACCATTCCATATAAGTGCTGGTACCTTTGGCAGGTCACTTGTCCTCCTGAGCCTCAGTTTCCTCAGCTACAAAGTGGGAATAAACCCTACCTTTGCTTCCTGAATTCCCACACAGGGAACATGATAATGCAAAGGGAAACTTTCTCTTTTTTTTTATTTATTTTTATTATACTTTAAGTTCTGGGGTACATGTGGAGAACGTGCAAGTTTTTATACACATGCCATGATGGTTTGCTGCACCCATCAACCCATCATCTACATTAGGTATTTCTCCTAATGCTATCCCTCCCCTAGCCACCCACCCCCTGACAGGCCCCAGTGTGTGATGTTCCCCTCCCTATGTCCATGTGTTCTCATTGTTCAACTCCCATTTACAAGTGAGAACATGCAGTGTTTGGTTTTCTGCTTCTACATGCTACTTTGCACCTATCACTGTCTGTTGAAAAACCTTTAGCAGATCTCTTGTTATTTTCAGGTGACAGTCAAAACTCTGAAACCAGACACTGCCTGGTTTGCGTTTCTCTGCCTCTCTGGTCCTTCTCATGGTTCCCCCTGCAGGAATCCTCCCTGCTGCCATACTTGCCTCGTTTTCCTCTGCATATCTTGAGCACCTCCTGATACTTGCTTTTGCTTTGGGATCCAAGAACTGGTTCTTACCAGCCCAGCTGAAGTCCCCCCTCTCCTCCTAACTCTGCCTACCTGCTCCTCTCATCGGAGTTTCTCTCCACAGCATCCACTGAACTCTTCACTCATGAGGACTGTCATGGATTTCATGGATTTCGTGTGCTTAGCCTTGGACTAGAAATTTTACATACATCATCCTTTGTTATCCTTATAGGAACCTGAAGAGTAGGGTTTATCCCCACTTTGTAGCTGAGGAAACTGAGGCTCAGGAGGACAAGTGGCCTGCCAAAGGTACCAGCACTCAGATGGAATGGTTTTGAACTCAGTCCATTTGAACTCAGTTTGAACTTTACTATGTATGGGCTTCCTTTGCATAACTTCCTTGCAGCTTTAGTTTAGTTTTAGAATATATATATATTCTAATATATATATAGCAAGACCTATATATATCTATATACACAGTATATATATATATATATATATATATATATATATATATATATACACAGTTGACCCTCGAACAACACAGGTTTGAACTGTGCAAGTCCACTTAATATGCAGATTTTTTTCAGCCAAACGCAAATGGAAAATCCAGTATTTGAGGGATGTGAAACCTGTGTAAACAAAGGACCAACTTTTCATAATCACAGGTTCCATGGGGCCAACTGTGGGACTTGAGTGAGTATTTGAGGATTTTGGTATCTGCAGGGGTTGTGGATCCGATCCCTGATGATAATGAAGGAAAGCCGTATATGTACATGTATCCATTTAGAGCACACACACACATTCAATGGTCTTAGTTAAATTTAAACCTAAGGGCAATGTCAGTCTGTTACCAGGTTGGTGCAAAAGTAATTGGGGTTTTTGGCATTACTTTTTTTTTTTTTATTTTGCGATGGAGACTTGCTCTTGTTGCCCAGGCTGGAGTGCAATGGCGTGATCTCGGCTCGCTGCAACCTCCACCTCCCAGGTTCAAGAGACTGTCCCGCCTCAGCCTCCCGAGTGGCTGGGATGACAGGCATGCACGACCACGCCGGGCTAATTTTGTATTTTTTAGTAGAGACGGGGTTTCTCCATTTTGGTCAGGCTGGTCTCGAACTCTCAGCCTCAGGTGATCCGCCCACCTCAGCCTCCCAAAGTGCTGGGATTACAGTCATGAGCCACCGCACCCAGCCGCCATTACTTTTAAATGGCAAAAAACGCAATTACTTTTGCACCAACCCAATGTATCTTTGTATCTGTGTGACTAGCAAAATGCCCAAAAGGTAGTTGTTGATGATTCAGTCATTTGACAAATGTATATTAACGCCAGCTTTATTTAAAGCTTTGTGTTGCCTGTTACAGAAACAGCACTAATACAACAGACATGAATTCTGTCCTTCAGGACCCATGAGGCTTGAGAGCAGATGGGGGTTACACAGAGAGCTAAGATTCTATGGCAGAGAGGTGGCAACTGTTCTTCTGTTAAGGGCCTGAGAGCAAATATTTTAGGCTTTGCCATCGCAAGGTCTCTGTTGGGACTATTCGACTCTGTTGTAGTACAAAGACAACCACAGACAACACATAAACAAAGTTTATTGTGTCCCAGTAAACTTTATGTGTATGGATATGGAAATTTGAATTTTATGTGCTTAACATGTGTCACAAAATGTTATTCTTCTGGTTTTATTCTCAATCGTCTTTATATTTCTACACAAAAACCATTCTCAGCTCACAGGCTGCACAAAATAAGGCATAGCCAGATTTGCTCCAAGGCCAACCCTGCTCCATGGAATCATGTCACAATGGAGACCTAACTGAACTGGGTCTTGTATTGACAACGATTTACGTATCTCAAGACAGTATCATGTAGCCATGGTCGCTTTGCATTCATTTTGCCCCACATTGTTGGTCTTCAATACTGGTGTTCGATTTAGCATGTTGGGGTAATGAGTAGCAACTGGTCAAAATTAAGTGAGAGTTATTGTTTTTCTGCATAATGTTTCCTGTGGTCTCTCCTATCATTTCTTCCAAGGCAATATCAAATGAATTAAAAGGCAGCAATTTACATTGAATTGCTCCCCCATTCCCAGATCAGAGCACTTATTGCCACTCCAGCTTCCCCCCTTAAAGGTAGTTTTATGAAATGTTGTAGGAGAAGGAAATAGCATCCCTTATAATAGACTACACCTCAATCCTTGAATTGTGGAGGTGAGAGCATCAAAAAAGCTGATTGCCATACCTTTCCCACTGGTGACGTGCTAAAGAACTCACTTTTGTTTCTCATTCAAAACCCGAAAGTGGCAAATATGTTCAGCTCGTTGGTCCAGTTTAATCTCTCGTTCAGATCTTAGTAGTATTAGCCCATTCTATAGGAATTATTTGAATAGCCAGCTTCATTTTAAGACATCTTCTTATATAACTGAACAATTAATTATACACAGACATAGTCCACTCCCTTCATATTGATCTTGTTTCTGAATATTAAATTATTGGTATGCATTTATTGTTAACACAACATTGCTATGGCTTATATCAGTTTTGGAAACCAGCTGGAGGTAGTGTAAGCAAAAGGGCGGATTGGTGACATGATAGCGAGGTATCTCAGGCAATCCGAGGGCAAGAAGAGAGCCAGGCTTATGGAAGGCCCTAACTGGAACGTGGAAAGCCATTAGGATCCTAGCAGTTCTGTGTCTTCAGCTGTGCCTCAGTTTCCTCTGCAAACCAACTCTCTCTATGTCTCTATATAAATGGTGAGTGGAAGATGACATTCATAGATATACATCTCCACTGTGCATGAGACCAGCCTCCACCATGGGATGCACTGACTGCCGTTCAGTCCCAGATATGCATTCCTGGGACAGAGGATGCCATCTGTCCTGTTCTGGTCAATCACATGCCTCAGAAGGGCAGGAATAAACAGCAGAAAGTAGGAAGCCAATTGAGGTTACTCGGCCTTTGGGGTATGCTATATATATGTCTCTCTCTTTGGGTTAGGCTGACAATCAGTTCCCTAGTGTTTACTCAGCACTCACTTCATGACCCTTACTCTTATTTGCTTAGCTTGGGGTTTCATCAAAGCAGGCACATTTGCAAGAAGTCATCTACTTATTGAACAACTCTCAGGAAAAGACATAAATGTCATTTTGTTTTCACCTTCTATGAATCATAGTTGGTATCTTCAACAGAGACAGCAAGTGCAAAATGTCTGGAAAAATCTCTGAGTTAGAAAAGACTTACAGAAAATAAGCAAATTTAGGTTAAAAATGCCCCATCTCTCTCTTTTTCTGAAACCCAGACATACACACACAGAGTCATCCTGTTTGCTTGCAATTTTAATCTATAAAAGGTACTCATAGGTAATTTAAATTCTAGTGAATCATCCCTTTGGAAACTAATTGAAAGTTTTTTTATTTTGAAATATCAAGGCATTTTTCTTTAAAATTCTATAGGAAGTTAGGGGCTTCAGGGGAGCCACAGTTTTATTTTTTAAAAGCATAAAATGGCAGTGGCACATGCCTGTAGTCCCAGCTAATAGGGAGGCTGAGGCAGGTGGATCACTTGAGGCCAGAAGTTCAAGGCCTGCCTGGTCAACATAGCAAGACCCCATTTCTATAAAAATAAAAAAAAAAAGAAAGGAGAGAATAAAATGAATGGCTTTCAACTACGTGGTGAATAAACCCTAACTGGTGAATAATAATGTCAGTTTCCTTTTAGTTAACACCTGTTACATGCCAGATACTGCTATATATTATTTATAACTTTCAAAACTGCTGCAGAAAGTAATATCTCCATTTTATAGATGCAGAGACTGAGGCTAAGAAAGGTGAATTGAATTTCTTAAGGCCGTACAGCTCTGTGAAAGAATTCAAACCCAGGTGTCAATGGGCTGCTTCATGCTTCTTCTCATGAGGGGAAATATTCAGATTTTTTTTTTCTTTCTACAGATAATGCCATATCCAGCAGTCCCCTTTTGGCACCAGGGACCAGTTTTGTGGACGACAATTTTTCTGTGATGGGGAGGAGAGGAGGGGGTGGTTTCTGGATGATTCAAGTGCATTACATTTATTGTGCACTTTATTTCTTTCTTTTTTTTTTTTTTTAATGAGACAGAGTCTCGCTCTATCGCCCAGGCTGGAGTGCAGTGGTGCGATCTCAGCTCACTGCAAGCTCTGCCTCCCAGGTTCATGCCATTCTCCTGCCTCAGCCTCCCGAGTAGCTGGGACTACAGGTGCGTGCCACCACACCCGGCTAATTTTTTGTATTTTTAGTAGAGACAGGGTTTCACCATGTTAGCCAGGATGGTCTCGATCTCCTGACCTTGTAATCCACCCGCTTCGGCCTCCCAAAGTGTTTATTTCTATTATTATTACATTATAATATATAATGAAATAATTATACAATTCACCATAATGTAGAAGCAGTGGGAGCCCTGGGCTTATTTTCCTGCCACTAGATGGTCCCATCTGGGGGTGATGCAAGACAGTGACAGATCATTAGGCATTAGATTCTTATAAGGAGCACACAAGCTAGATCCTTCGCAAATGCAGTTCACAATAGGGTTTGTGCTCCTATGAAAATCCAATGCTGCTGCTGATCTGACAAGAGGCAGAGCTCAGGCAGTCATGAGAGTAATGGGGAGCAGCTGTAAATACCGATGAGGCTTCGCTTGCTGGCCCATACTCATCTCCTAGTGTGTGGCCCAGTTCCTAACAGGCCACAGACTGGTACATGTCTGTGGCCTGCATCTTGGAGATCCCGGCTATATACAGTAATGACTATCTTCTCAGTATTTTAAATTTTTTTTTTTTAATGAAATCTCTCTTCTTTCTCCCTCACCATATATACCATATATATGCCCTATATATCCATGCACTGACTCTGGGCCAGGTAGCTTGTCGGACATGAGGGCAAAGGGGATGATTAAGACCAGGCTTCTGCCCTCAGATGATTACAGGTGTTAAGGGAGGTGAGAATCAGATAGTTAAAATACAGGTCAGTTTACTCATTGCCACGTGAGGGTACATGCTGGTCACTCTGTAACTGCCTAGATGGGACACCCCTAATTCAGCCTGAGGAGGAAGGGCTCCAGCAGCATCTCGCTGGGGTTGACCAGGTGGCCATGGAGGGTAAGACAGGACTTTACAGGTCTACAGTGGCAAGTGCAGAGGTACAACAGAGAGAATGAATCCAAACTCCTTTACGTCAGGGGTTTTCAAATTTAAGTTTGCCTCAGGATTGCCTGGAGAACTGGTCTAAGCACTGATTGCTGGGTATCACCCCCAGAATTTCCAAGTCAGCAGGTCTAGGATGGGGCCCAAGAATGTGCATTTCCATTTTTTTCTTAAGACAGGGTCTCACTGTGTTGCCCAGGCTGGAGTGCAATGGCCTGATCATAGTTCACTGCAGCCTCAAACTCCTGGGCTCAAACAGTCCTCTCACCCCAGTTTCCCAAAGTGCTGGGATTACGGGTGTGAGCCAACGCACCCAGCTTGTGCATTTCTGTGAGGCTCCCAGGAGATTCTGCTGCTGCTGGCCCACCCTGCGAAGCACCACCTGAAACAGCACAGCCAAAGCAGCCTCTGCGGATCATTAGAACGGCCTGTGCTTTCCAGGTTTTATCAGTCTGGTATTTATATCCATGTGTTAGCTCAGAAGCCAACTTTGCCTTGCCTGTGTTTATTAAAACATCCATAAATCTGTCAGGTGTCTTTCTTTCAATCTGAAAATTCCCCAGGCAAGGAAGCCATGAATCATCAAATTGAACATCAGGCTCCCGGGTGAACTGGCTGGACCAGACACAGGGCACTGTTTTCCCCACAGGCGTGAGCAGCCACAGCCTGGCAGCGCCCAGTGTGCAGAATCCGGCAGCAATGAAAGCAAGAGAGGAGAGAGAAATGCCCTCTTCCTTCTTGTCTCTCCAGTCCCCTTAGAGAAGTACTTGCTGATCCAGAACAAAGCCAGTCAACCACATGGTCCCTCCACGGTCACACACAGCTGGTTGCTCTGCTGCAATAGAAGTCTCTCCCTCCCCAGCTACAATGACACTGGACATAGTTAAGGTTAAATCTCTTTCTGAGGACCATGAAACTATAATGATAATTTCAAACATCTGTTTGTTGCTATTAATGTATATGATATTCCAGTGAGTTTGTTACCCAGCCAGGCTTGTTCTGCCTGTCACACAGTATGCCAATCACTGTGATGAGGTTTGCAGCAAAGAAAGGGTTTATTCACGAGGCAGCAAAGCAAGAAGACAGGAGAAGAGATCCCAAACCCAACTCTCCAAAGACAGGGTTGAGGGACATTCATGGGATAAAAGAACAAGGCAATCCGAGGCATAGAGAAGGGGGTAAGGAAAGTGTGGGAACTGGTGATCTGAGCAAGTGTAGTCAAGCCTTGTGGCTCTTCATAGGACTCATGTTTACAAAATGGAATTATTAGCATGATCTGATGATGGGGTTTTGGCCCTGTGATACCCAAAGGTCATCCATGGAGCAGTCACACAGTCCCAGTTGGAGGGTCGCTGGTCTCAGCTGGCTTGACCTGGATGAGAGCTGACCCCAAGTTCCTGAAAATACAACTTAAGCGGCCATTACCATGATAACCTATAATCAGAGATATTATCTATATAGAAGCTTGTGAAGTTTAGTTATATATTATTTGGCCATGCAACTTTAGCTATGTGGAGGTTTGTTTGGTTTTGTTTTAGAGACAGAGTCTCACTATGTTGCCCAGGCTGGCATGCAGCAGCATGAAGATAATTCACTGAGGCCGCTAACTCCTGGGCCAAAGTCATCCTCCTCAGCCTCCTGAGTAGCTCGGACTATAGGTGCACACCACCATGCCTAGCTAATTATTTTTATTTTTATTGTAGAGACAGGGGTCTTGCTTTGTTGCTCAGGCTGGTCTCAAACTCCTGGCCTACAAGTGATCCTCCCACCTCAGCCTCTCAAAGTGCTGCAATTATAGCTGTGAGCCACCGTGCCCAGCCAGCCATGTAGGTTTTAAAATCAACTAGAAGCAAGCAACTAAAAGCAAGCGAGGCCATTTACGTTTGGCAGGCCTAATCAGGTTAGCCTTCGGTTTCAAGTTTAGAAGAAGAAACAGCAGCAATCTTGGTTTTCAGCTGAGGAGGCTGGGGGCAAGATAGTAATAAAGACAGCAGGCAAGTGCTAAGTAAAAGAATACAACCCCTGGGCCGGGCGCGGTGGCTCACGCCTGTCATCCCAGCACTTTGGGAGACCGAGGTGGGCGGATCACGAGGTCAGGAGATCGAGACCATCCTGGCTAACACGGTGAAACCCCGTCTCTACAAAAAATACAAAAAATTAGCCGGGCGTGGTGGTGGGCGCCTGTAGTCCCAGCTTCTCGGGAGGCTGAGGCAGGAGAATGGCGTGAACCCGGGAGGCGGAGCTTGCAGTGAGCCGAGATCCCGCCCCTGCACTCCAGCCTGGGCGACAGAGTGAGACTCCGTCTCAAAAAAAAAAAAAAAAAAAAAAAAGAATACAATCCCTGAACCAGAAAGGAGTTAGTGCCTGTTGCGTGAGCTGCCACCAGCTGGCCTCACAAGAGAAAGTGGGTGAGGGGAAAAGAAAGGGAAAGGAAAAAAAAATGAAATAAATTGGGAAAGAAGAAAACAAAATGGCGAGTTGATTGGGGCTCCATCCACACATGTACCTGGGTTATCATTCAGGTAATCATTGATTACCTCACCACTTCTCTCAATCAGATTTTCATCAAAGCTTCCTATGTCATAAATCAATCGGAAAAACATCCGAATCTCCAGATTTTACCTTAATTGTACCAGGGTTCTTTCCCAAGCCAGGGACTTGGAACCCACACTCAGCCATCTGCTTCCTATGCCCTTTGAATAACTATTTAAAGTAAGTTCTTTGAGCTTGAGTTTCACCAAAGGAAGAAAACCTTGTCAGCAAAGCCCCCAGCCCCTTTAATTTCTACCCTTTTGTGGTTCTTTCCCTGCAAACAGGGACAAACAGGACCATTTTGATAAGTCCCAGATCAACATAAGCACTGAGGTATTTAGATATATAGAGTTCTACAGATTTACAACTGGAGGACAACTCATTACCTTCAATGTATTCTTTTTTGTTTTTTTTGAGATGGAGTCTCGCTCTTGTCGCCCAGGCTGGAGTGCAGTGGTGCCATCTTGGCTCACTGCAACCTCCTCCTCCCGGGTTCAAGCAATTCTCCTGCCTCAGCCTCCTGAGTAGCTGGGATTACAGGCACCCGCCACCATGCCCCGCTAATTTTTGTATTTTTTTAGTAGAGATGGGGTTTCGCCTTGTTGGCCAGGCTGGTCTCGAACTCCTGAACTCAGGTGGTCTGCCTGCCTCAGCCTCCCAAAGTGCTGGGATTACAGGTGTGAGCCACCGCCCCAGCCCAATGTACTCATTTTAACCGTGAGGAAAACTGAGGCCTAAAGAGAACAACCACTTGCCCTAAATCATATGCTAATTCGTAGTGGTGCCTCTCTGGCGTGCAGGTGATTGTTAGTTTTATTTGCTTTTATTTTGTTTTGATTTAAGAGGTTTCCTAGTGATACTAATAATAATAGCAATATTCATTTAACTCATATTGAGTCCTTCCCATGTACTAGACACTGTTCAAAATATATGTATTTTAATGTATTCTGAATACTTTTAACGTCTTTTAATCCCCGCACAATCCTATGAGATAGGTGCTGTTATCAACCTCCGTTTTACCACTTAGGTACAGAGAGATAACAGAGAGATGCAGGAAGTTGCCTAAGGTTTTTGACATCACTCTTCATGGAGATTTAGGAAAAGATGTGAATGGCACAATTGCTAACTGGCATGGATGCATTAAGAAGGGAAATCTAATCTATACTAAAATTGAAGGAAAAACTAATCTATACTAAATTATTATAATCTGCAATGGACATATCTTTAGAATATCATATGTGTGTGCTACTACAAGGCCACGTGACCTAGTGTTTTGTCACAGGCCCTGAGCTGCTAGAAAGCAGAGTCTCTGCAGCCCCTAAGGCAGGGCACACTGGCTGCCCAGCACGCAGTGGGTGTTCAATAAACCTATGAAGAAGTGAAATTGACATTGAGGGTGATTTATACTCCTGGAGACTCATCAGCCCAGGGGCGGCTCTTCGCAGAGAAAGGCATCTCTTCAAGATGATTTGAGGATCCTCTTGCTCCAGTAGGTTAAGAAATACATATCTAAGTGTTTTCCTCTGCATGGGATATTTCTTTATAGTTCAGGAGAATTTTCTGCCTATTTCCACCCCCTCTTGTCTAGATTCTATTGAAACACACACAACAACATTTAATCACTCACTCAGTGGGATAAATGACCCTGACCCTTGACTCATCATCGTAAACGGTAAAACAACCTGATTTATCAAGAAACAACATCTCTCAGCCGTGATGTTCCTCCATCACTTATTTATTCTTTAGTGTTCAGGTTAAATGCCGCCTCATTAGAGGCATCTCTTCCCCACATTATCTAAGATAGGGCCTCCCAGTTACACACCCTTCATCTCCAACTATGCCCCTCATTCATTTCATTTGCAGCACTTCAGTTAGGTCCATCCATGCTTTTTGAAGCTTTTTCTAGTGTAATGCACTCTTCCATTTATTTTGTTCATCCTAAAAGCTAGCACAGAGGCTGGCATGTTTATATTACTTATTTAGCAAACACTGCTTGCTCTCTATGTGCTGAGCATTCTAACTGCTTACTAAATTTATTTGATCCTCCCTACAACCCCACACTTAGGTACTCTTATTACTCTGTGTTTTATAGATGAGGAAACTGAGGCAGAGAAATTGAGCCTTAGTTTGAGCCTTGGGGCACAAAAGTAGTATGTGTTTTTGAACCCACTAAGTCTAGTTCTTGGTTTGTGTTCCACCATTACTTTGAACAAATACACACACAGTCAATTCTTATTTGTTGAACATCTGAATAAATAAACGAAATATAAACATAAGTAAAGGAACTAAGAACAAAATGTCTCCTGTCTACTGCAGCACTTCTTACATCTATGTCTATATTTATCCCCTACTCTAATCTCTTGATCTTCTTTTGAAGTATTTTTGAAAGAGCATCTCTCCTCTTAAAATTTTTCTAATGCAAATAAAAAACACACTGACCTAGAGTTCCAAAGGGAATATATTTATCGTATGAAAAGAGAACCCCAACAAACACCCACACACATCAGCTGTAGTTTGATGATAACAGTTCTGATCTCAAGAGAATAGCCAAACTTGCATGTTTTATGTTATGCTGACTATAGTGGGTTGAATGATGGTCACCCAAAAAGATACGACCACATTCTAATCTCAGAACCTGTGAATGTTACCTAATTTGGAAAAAGAGTCTTTGCAGATGTAATTAAGTTAAGGAGCTTGAGAGGAAGAGATCATCCTGGATTATTCATGTGGGCCCGAAATCCAATAACAGGTGTCCTCATACAAGACATACAGAGAAGAGAGAAGACAAGTAGGCAGTGTAACCATGGAGGCAGAGATTGAATTGATGTAGTTATAAGTCAAGGAATGCCCAGAGCCACTAGAAACTGGAAGGGACAAGGAAAGGATTCTCTCCTAGAGCCTCTGGAGGGAGTGTGGCCCTGGAAACACCTTGATTTTGGACTTCTGGCCAGGAGAACTGTGAGAGAATCCATTTCTATTGTTTTAAACCATTCAGATTGTGGTCATTCATTATGGAAAATACAGGAAATGAATACACTGATGCTTGAAGATTGCACTAACTACTTCTTAAAAGTCTCCTTAACGAAGCTTTTTTGAGACTGATTTGGTTCACCTCTGCTGTATAAACATGGGTGGGAAAGGGTAGGAAAAATGGCTCGCCACAGACATCTTGAAATTTCTTTTTATCTTTTAGTTATTCTCACTGAACTGTGCATGCCTATACAGGCAGGTAAACTCAGCAGTTGTATGGTGCTTACTAGTAGATGTTAAATATTACTCTTCATTTAAAAAAGTCGTAAAGTTTTTAAAATATCCCTCAAAACCTTAGGAGACTGAATTCATAAGAAAGATAAACAGCGAATTCTTGTTAAGTGGCTGGTAAAAAAACAAGCATAATATGGTTCACTCCCACCAATGGATGCCTTACAGATGGACGACATGAGTCATGCCGCTGGCCTTGACTCCCTTCTCACCAGCAAAGACCTTACAACAATCTGACTGCCTGTTTAGAATCTGGGACTGCTAAGAATTGGAGTTGGGAAGGTGGCCAGGAGGAATGCTTGGAAAGACTTTCTAGAGCTCATTGGAGAAATTTTAACAAGCAGGTGCCTTAAAAGGAATAAAAAATAATTGATATCCTTGACCTGAACTACCTCCAAACTACCCAGTCTATGATTGTCTCTTGATTCTGCAAGCAGATGATATGGAAAACATGTGATAGTCCTCTAGGACTGTCATTCTCAAACTTTAGCGTGCATCTGAATCACCTGGAAGGAAGGCCTGTTAAAACATAGATTTCTGGGCCTCACCCTCTGAGTTTTAGTGACAGGAGGTCCGGAGTACGGTCCAAAAATGGGCAGGTCTAACAAGTAACCAGTTGCTGCTGCTTGATGCTGGGGTTCCAGGGACCACACTTGGATGACAACTGGTCTGGAAAATTGATGAGTCAAGTATATAGTGATCTAATTAAGTGAGTCGGCTTTTTGACAGATATTTGGGCTCCTTCTTGTACCGAGAGCAATATCACAACATGTTTCTGTGCTAAAGCCCTCAGTATATTTTTTGCCTGTAGGTAAGTTTATTGGGTAATAACTTTGTTGCCAAACAATGACTTTCTGCAAGTGTACTTCAGCGACGCATTCATTGTGTTGTGATCACAGGCACACCTGCTCAGTGCTTCCCATATACAGCGACCAAGCCATTAATCCTCCCTAAATTCAACACCTGCGCTGACCTTCCCCTTCAAGGTCCCATCCTTAAAGGAACCTTCAAGTCTCCACTAGGTCATTCTAATAAGCGGAAGGTGACACTAAACTGAATAGGTAATGATCCCAGGGCACTGGGTGAAAATATTTATCCTAGGTCATTCTCCTTGTCTGATGTGTCACTTGGGAATTAACCTTTCTCTGATGCCTCACTGGCTTGTTGAGGGCAAGGGTAATGAAAATACGCTGGGAGCTATTTCTAAGTGTTGGTGTAGCTATGTCTTTAGTCTAAATGATCAACCACATTCTGTTAAAACATTTAATACCACATAAGCTGCTCTCCTAATTTCTTATAAATGTGCTTTTAACTTCCAGCCAGTGAAAGGCACATGGTGGTGATATTTTTGAGAAAGTAGAGAAGAAAAGAATGAATCCGGATGGTTGTTGAGACAGAAACTGAGCGTCGAACCTCATTTTCTCTCGTACCCAAACCTTGATGAAACAACAGAGGAAAGTATTGGGCTGCAATTGTAGGCGCACAAAAGCAAACCTTGAGTCATGGATGACCGACCAAGGAAGAGTCCCCTTGGGAGGAGGAGGTGCCAAAGACCAGTGATACTGCTTTGGGTTATGTGCACTGAGGGTTTCCAACCCTGACGGATATGGATTCTAATTTAAAATATCACAGGGAAGAAAAAAATAGACGTTCCCATGGCAACATTTTCTCAGGGCCAGCTCTTCTGTCTTATTATCATATCTTATTTAAATATTTCCTGGAATCAGTTTAAACTTAATCCCTCTGTGTGTCTTCTATTTTCAGTGGCCATGGAGAGCGTAACATCTGGTCAGAGGTTTTCCTTAAATAAATCATATAATTGTAGGCAAGTCCATCGATTTCCATATGTTTGCTTGTGCTTACAATAGCTGCAAATCTAATATCATGTAAAAATTTCATTAACATTCATTTCCAGATCTCTAATTAAGAATTTTAAGTTAGCTAAATCTAACATTCCTTCAGGAACTGTGGTAGACACCTGCCTGCAGCTGGATATGGTACCATTTGTCACAACGTATGCTGTGTTCCAGCCCGGTTCCAAAGAGCATTACCGGGTTTCTCTGTGAACCACGTTTTGCCAGATACTTGGAGAACAACCCTCCATAAATGTTCCTTTGATATGTGATTTTATCAAAGCGACCTTTTCTTTGTTATTCTTTATCATTCTTACAAAAATTAATGTTTCTGTCCTCCACCACCCTCCCATGATGTTTATTTGTCCTGATTTGTCTCTTTGTCTTCCTTAAACAACTGCTTGTGTGACTCAGCATTCATTCATGTTCCTCGTGTTTCCAGCTGGGCTCCTTTACTTTATAGGGTGTGCGCTGATACCAGCTTGCCAGCAGAGAGAATCCACTTTCTTCTTCTTTTCTCCTTTTTTGAATGTGATAATTTCATGGTGTGTCATGGGAACTCATGAGTGCTCAAAAAGCTTTTTTTTTTGGCGGGGGTATACAGAGTCTCACTCTGTCACTCAGGCTGGAGTGCAGTGGGGCAAGCTCAGCTCACTGCAACCTCCACCTCCTGGGTTCAAGCGATTCTCCTGCCTCACCCTCCTGAGTAGGTGGGATTATAGGCACCCGCCACCATGCATGGATAATTTTTGTATTTCTAGTAGAGACGGGGTTTCACCATGTTGGCCAGGCTGGTTTCAAACTCCTAACCTCAAGTGATTTCCCCCAGCCTGACCTAGCCACCCCCACCTCAGCCTCCCAAAGTGCTGGGATTACAGGCGTGAGCCATGGTGCCAGGCCTTCAGACAGCTTTGAAAGCTAATTAAACCTTCAGAAACTTGATTTGTTGGAATAAGTTACACCTGGGCAAGTTGAATTTCCTTTTTCATAGCATCAGAACTTCCAGCATTTTATTCGCATCTGTTGAGATGTTTTTGAAGAGCATTTCATTACTTCTAAGTATATGAATATGCCTATCTTTAGTTAGTCATTCAGTATACAAGTTTTTTAAAGTGTCGGTTTCTCAGCTATACCCAGATCATCTATATTTTTATTGAAATCAGAAAATGTATTCTGAAGCTAATAAAGCTGAAACTTCAAGGGACCCCCGAGGGATAGTGGAGCAATGGTGTTTTATATTCATAATTTTGTATTTATTTTGTTAAAGGAAACACAGCAAAATGTATAAGCTTCAGTTTCCACAAAGCTTGTATCTGTCCCTGATTTGTAATATATTGAAATACAAATCTTATAAAAGGCCTTTACTTTCATAGCCTTGTTGCATAGTTGAGTTGCTTGTTTAAGTCGTGGTCTTGATGGTTATTGTGGTGTTTATCTCTGGAGATAAATGCATTCTGACACCAACAGTCATATATCAGTAAGAATGGCAATGAATTTGGGACGCCAAGGCAGGAGGATTGCTTGAGCCCAGGAGTTCAAGACCACCCTGAGTAACATGGCAAAACCCCATCTCTACAAAAAAAGAATGCAAAAAAGTAGCCAGGCATGGTGGTGCACACCTGTAGATCCAGCTACCCGGGAGGCTGAGGTAGGAGAGTCACCTGAGCCTGAGGAGGTTGAGGCTGCAGTGAGCCATGATTGCACCACTGCATTCCACACTCCAGCCTGAGCGAGAGACTCTGTCTCAAAAAAAAAAGGAAAAAAGAAAAAAGAAGAAGGGCAACATAGCAAGACCCTGTCACTCAAAAAACATTTTTATGGTTAGCCAGGCATGGTGGTACACACCTGTAGTCCTAGCTACTCAGGAGGCTGAGGCAGGAGGATTGCTTGGGCCCAGCCCAGGAGGTTGAGGTTGCAGTGAGCCATGATCGCACTACTGCACTCCAACCTGGGCCAGAGAGTGAGACCCTGTCTCAAAAAAAAAAAAAAAAAGTGGCAATGAAAAATAGACTGAATTAGGTGGGATCATGTAGCATTGCATCAATTCTGATGCAATTGCCCGATGCCTTCATGGGGAGAAACCAAGTAATATGTTAATCAACCTCCCTGAACAATTAAGTTTCATCAGTAGTGTCCCAAACCCAGGTTTGCTAATTGGCCAGTGTTAAGGGAAGGAATGCAGGGATCTTAACGCTACTTCTTCTATCATGTAAAACCCACTCAAAGGACTCAGTCCACCTCTGTTTTTGGCTCTTACCCATGGTTTATGCAGACTGAGTAACCAAGCTAAGCCAGCAACGGAGGACAACCAAGTACGTTGTCATCTCCATAGTGGGCTGGTAATTATACTCCAGTCCATCTGAAGCAGCCTCATTGTCTGGGGTGATAACCAAGGTTCACTGTCTCATGGCCAGGGAAGTCAAGGACGCAGACACACAAAGAGTGAAGTAAAGAGTGGAAGTTTAACAGGCGTAAGAAACAGAATAGCTCTCTGCTGGAGAGAGGGGTCCTGGAGGAATGGATCACCGGATCCACAGTGGAATGCAGGGGGGTTTATAGATGCCTGGTGAGGAGGTGTTGTCTGATTTACATAGAGCACGGAAGATTGGTTGGATCAGGTGTACCATTTGCTTAGGGCACGAAAAACTGGCTAGGACTAGGTGCACTATTTGCATAGGGGTCAATTTCTGGTAGCCCCCCCTCTAATCTTTTATTATGCAAGTAGGTTTTCTGCCTGACCTGTGCCATGTTGTCCATCCCTCTGCTGTACACATGATAACACAAACAGGGAAGATGGAGCCTCCGTGTTGGACATGCCTGGCCCCTAGGTAGCCCTTTTCTATTGGCACAGCTGCCGGCGTTCCCCTGTACAAGCTTCCAGCTTGCTTATCTATGTTTGCAGCTCGATTTTTCAGGCTGCTTTTTATTAGAAAAAAAATGATTTCTTGGGCCGCTTTTTGTTGAAAGGGAAGCTCTGCCAAGGACTCTTTTACACTATCTGCCTAAATAATTTCTTTCTACCTCCTGTATCACATTCACTTTATCAGTGGTTCAGGAGAGATGATGTTTCAGCCAGTCAGTCCTGGGCTGCCACACCTGGGCTGGGATGGGCTGAGGCTGTGCTTATGAGCTCAATCAGAAATTTAACCAATTTTAAATGACAGTCTTCCCAGAGAGCATCAGGCATAATGATGGTGGTGAGAGAGAAAGATAATGCTTGGCTCAAGGAGTATAGTGTACATTTCAAAAGGGCCTTTAGTCTTGGCAGTTTCTGGTATATCTGTCACAGAGTAAAGAGGAATCAAATCTGTGTTGAATGTAGAACTGGAAATGTATGAACATAACAATAATCACATGGTTAATGCCAGTCACAAGAGGACCCCACAGTAGTGTAAGTTAAACAAATGGAGAGTCAGGCATGGTGGCTCACGCCTGTAATCCCAGCACTTTGGGAGGCCAAGGAGAGGTCGGGAGTTTGAGACCAGCCTGACCAACATGGAGAAACCCCGTCTCTACCAAAAGTATAAGATTAGCCAGGCCTGGTGGGGCATGCCTGTAATTTCAGCTACTCGGGAGGCTGAGGCAGGAGAATCGCTTGAACCTGGGAGGCCGAGGTTGCGGTGAGGCTGCAGGAGGTGAGGTTGCGGAGAGGAGGCAGAGGTTGTGGTGAGCCGAAATCATGCCATTGCACTCCAGCCTGGGCAACAAGAGTGAGACTCTATCTCAAAAAAAAAAAAAGAAAAATGGAGAGTGTGTTTTAGTTTTAGAGTTTGGCATACACAGTCCATTTCCTAGTACTGCTACTTAACTAGTCAAATGTTCCTCAAGCAAGTTTCCTCTTAATCCCTCTGAGCATCAGTGTCCTCATACATACAATATTGAGAATAATGTCTGAATTACTGAATTATTATAAGGATTTAATCTAATGAATATATATGCCATATATTGAGGGACCCACAGTAAGTGCTCAAAATATGGTGGGCAGTACCAATTATTATAGGGTCACTTACACTTTGGGTCATATTGTGCATCCTGAAATATCACAATTCAGCAACATTCATAGCATGTTGTATATGCTATGTACAACATGGTGCAGTGCAACTTCAAATATTAACACAATAAGACATGTTGAATCTTCCACTAGCATCATAAAGATTTTTAAATCATTTGAATCTGGGAGTTGGCAATTGCAAAAAAGAATTCCTTTGGAGAAGCTTGGCCATTCCTTTGCAACATAGTAATTCTATAAAGTGTTTGATGCATGTTATCATCAGTAAGATCCAACTGATAATATTTACCACAGATAGGGACTTCATTACATCTCAGCCACTGAATTATGTACCCTTCATATAAGATCCCAGCAAAGGGAAAGACAAGCCTTACAGGATGAAGTCATCTGCACTGGTGACCTAGGTGTACGCGGACAGTTTGCAATCAGGTGTACATGGTTCTAAATTGTCTACTTACTGCCTGTATATGCATATGTGCCCCTTTCTTGTCCTCAGGAAGCCTAGAGGTGGGTGGGGAAAGATGACACATCTGAACTTATCAGGGCAAGGGACCTTCTATGCTGAGATCCTCATGCACACCCCAGGCAGCCAGAGTTCTATCGCCCAGAGGAGGTGCAATTCAATGGGGTTTTCTAAAAATAATTCCAGACACCTAACCTCAGCATTCAACCTGCACTTAATTTTTGTTTTTATTAATAAATTTCAGTATGATTTCTTTTTTTCCCTCTGAATAAATCTTTCCATTTGCATTGCTTTCACATGCCAACTGAAAAATGACGAGGTTCATGAGTTTGGAAAGGAGAGCTTTATTTCCCATAAAGAGTTGCACCTTGAGGATGGCCATTCTGACAGGCTAAGAAGCATAACTTCCCGTCAGAAGCAGAAACAGACACAAAGGGAACAGGAATTTTGCTGAGTAGGGTGGCCTAATATACATATTTAATAAGCTATGGGAAGCATCATTAATATTTAGGAATGGAGAAATGTATGCATGCACAATTGAGCTTCATGCCCCTTCCTGGGTCCCATGTACAAAAAATGGCAGCATTAGCATGACCCGAAGGTTGAGTTTCCAGCCCTCTGACTGTCAAAGGGTGAAGCAGAGGACACGAAAACCCTCACTGCACATTCTCCATAGGCTGGCCAGAGCCACTCCATGGCAGATGGTCTCTTATCAGGCAAAGAAGGAGGGGTAGCATCAGGGGTTGGTTGATATCAGAGTGGAGTTTGAAAGGGCTGGTTTCTGGTCAGCCTTAAGGGAAGAAAGCTTCATCCTAGTTATTAAGGGTGGGGGTATAGCAAGGTGTGTCTGATCTATCCCATCACAGCCGAGAACTCGGTGTTCAAGGTCACCCTAGGGTCCCTTTGACCAAGAGATGGTCTGTTCAGTCAAGTAAGAGGCTTAGAATTTTATTAGCTTACACACACTTTTGGTATTTAGTTTTTTCAGTCATATTCCTCTCATGTTTTAGAATAAGGATTCACACTGTTTTGTGTGACTGGTTCAACTTTATTCCTTTGGCCTGTTGTTTTTAATCCCGTAGAGCCAGAATTAATAGTGACATGAGCTTTAGTTTCCATTTGGTTTCAGGAAATTCAAAACAAGAGATCATTGTTTTCCAATATTTAATTATATAGGCTGTGCCAAAGTAGACATTTTATTATTATTTTATTTTGATTCTTGCAGTTTCTGTACTTGTTTCATTTTCACAGATAGGTGGTACTTTCATTGAAATAATCATCTTTTATTCTTGCGTACCAAGTTTAAAGAATTTAATTTACATTTTATGATTTAATCAAAATCTGAACATGACCTTGGAGTTTATTGTTTTAATAAAATTGTTTCCTTAGCTCCTGATCCATCTTAAACTTCATTGCAATCCTTGCATATTTATTAATTATTTGATTTTACACAGTTTTATGATGTGGGACAGATGGTTGATGACTAGCTCCTTTGACACTGGTAAAATGAGACATGCAGCTTTAATTTTTTATGAAAATTATAATAGATCTAGTGGGGAAAAATGAATCTAGAAACTAGCTATTTTTTTTCAGAGTATCTTAGATTTGTATTGGCCTCACTGATGCTGAGCTCTGCAACATTTCACTTAAAAGAGTCTTCAGCAAACACAGTGTCTCATGCACCTTCCTGTCCTGGAAATCCTATTTTAGCCAAGGACATAATGTGCCAACATCTGAATCCTGGACAGTGTCTCTTTATGTTTTGGGGTTATTTTTAAAGTGTGTGTGACATATAGATTTATTTGCACTGAATAGGAAAGATGTCCACAATATATTGTTTAATGAAAATAAAAAGCAAGCTAGAGCACATAATACACATTGGAGGGTTGGGTGTAAAATCTTGGATCAGACGGCTTTGGTTTAAGTCTTAACTCTGGCTTCCTAGGAGCTGTGTGACACTGGCCCAGTCTCAGAACCTTTCTGTGTCTTCATTTTCTCATCTGGTGACTAAATAATAGTCTCTTAATTCACAGGATCCTGGTGAGGATTAAATGAATTAATATGTATACACACAGCGAGCAGTGCCTGGCACACAGTGAGTGTTTAAAAATATGCATATGTCATTTTGCAAAAGAACACATTTTGGAAGAACATAACCATTCATCTAACAAATATTTACTTAGTAAACTGCTACCAGTGATTACCTCTAGGGCATGGGAATGAGAGAGGCAAGGGCAAGAGGACTGAGTTTCTGCTTTATAAGCTTAGGTATTGTTTTAAAATTTTGCTTGTTCATGGAAGATCTGCTTACTAGGGCAGAGATTAGGAAATAGACCTGAGAGCCAGCCTGTGTGTGTGGCATCCTGCATCTGTGTTTACAGTTAGCCGTGTGACTTGGGACAAGTCTTCAACTCCTTGGTACATCCATTTCTTCACCCTTAAAGTGGAAATCATAACAGTCCCCACCTCGTATGGCTATTGTGTGGATGAAATGAGTCACTACATGCATTTCACTTAGAAAAGCACAGAGGTTCCTTGAAGGACAGAAGTGATTGGCAGCTGTAGCAGTAGCAGAGGAAAGGGTAGGGTCAAAATCTGCAATGCCCTGAGGTTCTCATGATGTTTGTCTTTGAAATCATAAAAAAAAAAAAAAAAAAAGAATTTAGAAAACATGTCCCTGAAAAAACAATCGAAATCAAAATAAAATTGTAGGGTTTTTTTCTCATTTCCATAATTTCCTATTCATCTCACAATAGTTTTTAATCCCTTAGCCATGTATAAAATTCTTTGCTCGGTATCTTACCCAGTTTTTCCTATTGGTGAGGTTTTTCCGCTTTGTATCTTATCTCTTTCTTCACCTCCTCCACTTCTCCTTCTTCTTCGTCAGTAGAATTCACTTTGTTTTTAAGGGTCTTTTGCTCTCATCTTGTTGAGAGGAATCACAATGACTGTCTTTTTCTGGCCAGATTTGCTTTTCTAAGAAAAACTGATGACTAATAAAGCCATAGGCATCAAATATGGATCCACTAAACATTTTATCTACTAAGGAACCACTTTATTTTCATCACAGTTGGAGAGTCTAAGACAGATTTGGAAACTCAATAAAGGAAGGAAAAGGAAAAAAGCTTTTGATATTGTCTTCAAGGGATGAACAACCTAATAGTAAAATAAAAACGTATATATTCAACAAGGGATATTTCAAATATTTAAACAGGGAATGGCACAGGCGCAAGTGGATGCCTTGTGGTGGCCGCCTTGCCGGCATGCCCAGGGACCTCAGCCGTGAGTGTGTGCAGGAAGCAGGAGAGAAGATTCCCATTTATTTTATTTTATTTATTTATTTATTTTTATTTTTTGAGATGGAGTCTCACTCTGTCATTCAGGTTGGAGTGCAGTAGCACGATCTCAGCTCACTGCAACCTCTGCCTCCCAGGTTCAAGCGATTCTCGTGCCTCAGCCTGCCAAGTAGCTGGCATTACAGGTGTGTGCCACCATACCTGGCTAATTTTTTTGTTTTTAGTAGAGACGGGGTTTCACCATGTTATCCAGGCTGGTCTCGAACTCATGCGCTCAAGTGATCAGCCCACCCTGACCTCCCAAAGTGGTGGTATTACAGGCATGAGCCACCGCGCCCGACCGAGAAGTCTTCCATTTATAAAGCTTAACCCACCAACAACTGTATCAGAGGCTTTACCTCCTGTTTCATTGAATCACTTAACCATACAGTATTACTAGTCTTCATTTTCTGGTGTTGCACAGAGGATCCCAGAGATGTAATAACTAACCTGAAGTCTCACGGCTCATAAGTGAGGAGCCAGGACACAAATTCAGGCTGTCTAGCACCTTGCAAGACCCTCTGGTGCCTTCAGTATATGGCAAGCATTCACTGCCCTGGAAGATAAATTCGAGGGCAGCAAAGAACAATTACAAAACAATTTCTGTATTATGTGATGCTCCTTTTCCTCAGAAAAATCTAGCTGGATTGTGTCCATGACCAGATGGACATTTGAAGAGATGATGTGTTTACGGAGAACTCACCTCTTTTTCTCTGCAGCAGTAGAGGTTGAAGCAGTTCCACGACAACTGCCCACGTATGTAGGGATGCCCCTTCTCCTGGCTGTACTTCCTTTCTATGCTGAAAGATGGATTCCACTGAATTCTTTCGTTTCTTGGGTCCATCCCTCCCGAGTGCCACTGGGAGAGTTTGGGAGAAAGCCCGAATTTGTTTCTCAGCCCTCCTTCCAGCTGCCTCTGCAGTCTCCAGTCCTCTGCTCTCCATCCTTCCAAGTTACTGCTCATCGGACACAACCTCCATTCCTGCCTTTTCACAGATCTTGCTTTCTCGAGCCCTTCTGTTACTGGTTCTCCCATCCAAAGGGTAACTATTACAAATTGTTCTACCCTATAGACACATACATGCATATGTTTATTACAGCACTGTTCACAATAGCAAAGACATGGAATCAATCAACCTAAATGCCCCTCATCAATAGATTGGATTTTTTTTAAATGTAGTACACATACACTGTGGAATACTATGCAGCCATAAAAAATGAGATCATGTCCTTTGCAGCAACATGGATGAAGCTGAAAGCCATTATCCTAAGCAAAGTAATGCAAGAACAGAAAACCAAACACGGCGTGTTCTCACTTATAAGTGGGAGCTGAGCATTGAGTACACATAGACACAAAGAAGGGAACAACATATACCAGGGCCATACATGAGTGTGGAGGGTGGGTGGAGGGAAAGGATTGAAAATCTCCTGTTGGGTACTATGCTCATTACATGAGTGACAAAATAATCTGTAAACCAAACCCCCACAACACATAATTTACCTATGTAACAAACCTGCCCATGTACCCCTGAACCTCGAGGTTAAAAAACAACAACAAAATGTAACTATTCATCTCAATTAAAACAGAGTAGAGGCAATCGTTCTAGGTCTGCTCTGGGAAAGACATTTATGCTAACTCTCAAGGCACAAACTTGAGTAGGTGAAGATGAAAGTGTCCCTCCGGGGTCTGTGCCGTCCTGGGAGAGACACAGTGAAGTGCTCTGTGAGGTAACAGGAATATGTGCAGAGTGCATCGGGGACATAGGCTCTTCCCTCTGTTTGGAATGCTGTGTCCTCTCTTGACTACATGGCAGCTTGGAGTCTTATTCCTCAAGACTCACAAAATGTCCTTATCTTTGCTACCACCACATCAACTCAAGCAAAGCTAATCATCTATACTGCTCCTTCCACTGCAATTATTTTGTTTAGTTCATGGCATTGCCAACAAGTGGTTTTCCAGAACAAGAACCACATCCCCAGTCTAAGCCTTGTAGGCAGTACTCAAACACATTTACTGTGTGAAATAATGATTGAAGAGTTGAACACGTGAATATGAGATTCCTTTTTTGCTGGGTGGGTGAAGAATGTGATTTCCAGAGAAGTGGGACCTGATTCTTGAAGAGATGTGGAGTTTGCCTCATTAATTAGTATCAGGACATTTTCCTGGTTTTCCTGAGAAACACAACTCTACATTTTTCTGGGTCTGTATGATCTCCCTTTAGAGCAGGGTTTCTCAGCTTCGGCACTATCAACATCTTAGCAGCCTTAATTCTTTGTGGGGAGCTGTCCTGTGCATTGTAGGATGTTTATCAGCATTGATAGCGTCTGCCTACTATATGTCAGTAGCACATTTTCCCCAGGTTGTGACAAGAAAAGTGGCTCCAGACATTGCCCAATATCCCCTAGGGCAGAGTCACCCTGGGTTGAAAACCACTGCTTTATACTCAACAAATGTTAGCTCTTGTTAGGCATGAAAAAGACCTTGCTGTAAAGTCAACCAGCCATAGAAAAATTATGGAATTGATTTTACCATTTTTGAGAAACTGCTGTGGGCCAGTCAGGCTATACTGGGTGCTTTATACAGATTCTATTTCATCCTCAAGTATTATAATCCTCATTTTGTAGATGAGGATGTAGGATCAGAGTGCCTAGGCAATGTGCCCACGTGGCAGAATCGGGTGTACTTCCTGGCCCTGCATGCTATGGCAGGTTGTTAGGCGTTTAATGCGCGCCTCCCACATTGCTTCTACTCTCTTTGCAAATATACAGTTCTATCTGCGTGCATGAGTTGGGGCGTGCAAATAGGCTGAAGTCTGAAGGGAAATCAGATGTGTGGAACATGTCCAGATATAAAAATAAATACTCTGATAAATATGGACCTGGAAAAAAAAAGCGATCACGAGTCTAACTTAATCATGAAAGCATAAATATTAAGCCAAAGGAATTTTCTTCACCAGGTGTCCTTTCAGTACCTAAACTGACATATTAGAAATATTTAGTCCAAATGACTGTTTTCACTAGATTTTTCATCAGAATAACTTCCACAGTTATATTAGATCAGCTGGTATTTTAAAAGCACTGTTCTTTATCCTCCACTATAAAGGCACAGTATTAAAAACACATAATAATAAATACCTCTTTAAAATGTTGAACAGTAATCAGCAAATCTGTTTGCAGTGGAACAGAATCCAGCTGCACTCTTTCCCTGTTTCTCTCAGAAAAGAGTAACTTCAGCAACAAGGAGTCTGCCCTTTCTGGGTGAAGGGGTCATACTAATATTTAACAAGAACCTCTCCCGCCTGCTTTTCACTTCGTGCCATTTCTTTAGATATTCTAATGACAAAAGGTTTTAGACTTGCGAGTGCTAATGCAAGGAAACATCAGTCGAATCTAGGTTTTTGTTTTTGAGGAAAAACTGTTATTTCAGCAGCTACTGCTACACGTAAGAGGTCCTGATGCAAATCCTTTTCCAAGCACCCTGCATTGTTGTTGTCAAGGTCCATATTTATCAAATCAAGTAAAAACCCATGAAAAGTGGCAACCGAGGGAGGAGGCAGCAAGATAAATCAACTTTCTAAAAAAAAAATTCCCCTTTTTAAATAGAATTTTATTCCGGTTTTGGTGTTCAGAGATGTTTTGTTCACAATAAGAGCCATTGCTCCATATTAGGTAACATCTTTTCCCCCTTGCAGCTTCAAATGAATATCAAGAGCCAGGTTCACAAGTTGGATTCCCTTTAAAGACACGTTTGATTGCAAAGCTTTGTTGACTCTGTTTGATATCCTCCGCGAACTGCATGACTGAGCTAAGCTGAAGTTCCTGGTCACCAGCATGGGGAACGGGTAGCTGCTTCAGCGCCTGCTGGCAGAGAGGTCGTTCTCCGAGTCTGCTTTGCCACCTAGTGGTTTGATGTGGTATTGCCATTCACCAGGTAGTTTTAAAAGTCATTTTAGCCGTTGAATGCTATAGTGAATTATGACAGAAAACAGAGACACTCTAAGCAAAGAAGGCAGTCAGAGACCCAAAACAAGCCCTGAAAAATGACGCAGACTGGATTACAAATAGGGAAGAGGCACTAAATAGTTGGTCTGAGAAAAAACGCACGGCTGTATGTTGCAAAGATATTTTGGGTTTTTCCCATATCATCACTTAAAAAAATAATTATTATTATAGACGTAGAATTAATTTAGACTTCTAGAAAAATTTATACGCTTTTAATTGGTTCAGCAGGTTTAAAAATCGAGAGCCCTCAAACATTTTTCCCAAGTAGGTACTGCCCGGTTGGCTCAGAGGACATGAAATGAGTTTATCTCCTTGGAATTCATTATAACCAGAAGCCTCACATGTATATTGGCCTTGTCCGTTTCTGTAAGCAATCTCACATGTATTTCACACTGGATATTTACACATTTTTAAATTTTTTAAATTTACCTATATATTTCACAGACTTATAACCCCAGAAAAGTTATTTTTTGCCATAACTAGGGGGAAGAAGGCAAATTTCCTAGAACTAACCTTCAATTTCTCCTAAATTCAGTACTGTCAAACTTTTTTGTCTTTTTTCACATTTTTTGTTTCACCCTCTTCTTTTAAATATTAATAAAAGATGTCAAAATATCCACTGCAGTGGCTTTCCAACATTATTCAACACAAAATACATTGTACGTACATCATGACTATAGACATAATTTTATACGTGTGTGTATGTCGAGCAAAAATTTAATGAAGTGATATTGATTGTCATTATGTGGTATGCATTCTGATACGTCCTATTCAATTTGCTGTACATTTTTTTCTTTTTTAATTCTCATATTGGCCCACTAATTGGCTCTTGCATTTTGAACTCAGTGTGTGTGTGTGTGTGTGTGTGTGTGTGTGTATATACACACACGCATATATATCTATTGAATTTAGTGTGTGTGTATATATACATAAATACATATATACATATATAAACACATATACATATACACACATATACATATATACACACATATCTATACACATGTATGTATATGATATGTATATACATACGTATATATGTGTGTATATATACTCACACACATGTATATATACACACATACCAAGTTCAAAATGCAACAGCCAATTAGCGGACCAATTAGTGTGTGTGTGTAGTGTGTGTGTATATATATAGTAAGTTCAACATGCAATGTATATATACACTAAGTATATGTACATTGTATATAAGTAAGTATACTAAGTACATAGTATATATACACGATATAAGTACACTAAGTATATCGTATATATATACTAAGTATATATACATACACACAGATGTAACTTCCCCACAAAGGCACTGATGGTACCCACGTGCAGGATCTTGCGCAGTTTTCCACTTCTTGCCTGAGCTCTGGTGCCTGGAACACTTCAGTAACCATTCCCTGAATGTTGCACCCACAACCTGGCAGGGAGGGAGCCTGCTCTGACCCCAGAGAGGAGCCAGGCACCTGCCCCTGGTCTGCCCCTATCTGACCATGCCCTGAGCCCTCATGCAGGCTGCATTCCTAGAACTCTTGCCTGGGATTACTTATAAAGTGCGAAGGTCACTGGGCTGACAAGGATCTCTGTTCCCACCACCTGTTTATTCCTGAGCATTACAAGGAAAGACTTCCTGTAGGTCCCCTCACCAATATCATTCAATTCAATGAGTGTAGACTGTGAACTTCCTTGACTCAAAATATCCTAATGCTATGGAATAGCTGTTGAGTCAGGATGAGGAAGGAATATTAAACATAGGAATGATACCTTCTACTCAGAAAATCACCGTAAACTGAGGGCTCTTAGCCCGGGGTTATCACTGCTTCATTTGGGTCTGACCTACAGTCTTGATTCTCAGGAAGTTACATATTACCTATGAAATAATAGATATACCTGAAGTAAAACATTTGGTGACTCTCATTTCTAATAAGTACTTTTAGATATTCTTTTTTTTTTTTTTTTTTGAAATCCTTATGACCGGCTGATCACTTTCTCCTGTTGTCATCCTGGGTACCGATAGGACCTCCGTTGCTGAGCCTCCAGAGAACAGTCCTTTTAATGAGGCCGTGGCCCCAAGGCCTCGGAGAAGTTCATAGAAAATGTCTGAAAGAAGGTGGGAGGGATCTTGTTTCCTGGCCCTATAGGGACATTGTCTTCCTTGATAAAGCTGGGTACAGCCTTGATATGAATAGATTGGGGAGCACCAGGAATGTACCTCACCTGGGCTGTCGAGAAAAGACAGTGTGCTCAGAAGAGGTATGGCAGGTGCTGAATATTCCCTTGGAGGGACGAAGGCAAGAAAGGCCCCTACAGCAATGAGGGGAGAAAATCCACAACCCAAGTAGAACTAGGATTTCTTATGTGTGAGACAATACATTGCTCATTTACATGTAAAGTGTGTATAATATTTTTAATCCATCGTATTCAGGCGAGCAAGATCAGTCATTTCATTTTTGTATAACTTGCCTCGAAGCTGCCTGTTGTGGCCCCATTCTGCATAGCAAATCACCACAAACTTAGCAGCTTACAACAAGGTTCCCTGTTCAGGGTCTCAACACTGAAATCAAGGTGTTCGCCCAGCTGAGTTTACGTCTTAGGCAAGACTAAGGAAGAATTCATTACCACAGGCATTCAGGTCATCGGTGCTTCTGCCATGGTGACCTAGTGACCTCTGAGCAGCTGCCACCTCTGGGCACCAGACAGGAGGGCATGAGGCACGCATCTTCTTTGAGTCTGATCAATATTATCAGATGCGACCTCTTTTTCCTCCAACCTTCTCCGCATTTAAAAGCAACAGCAGAGTGTAAGGCAAGATTCCAAGCCCTCCTTGGCAACCATCACCAATATCTGCCCCCTTTTAACTCTCTTCTTCACTTCCTTCTGGCTTCGGAAACTTTGGGATTTTTTTTTTTTTCCTCATTCGGGACATTACAGATTGAGCTGAAGTCTTCTTTGTCCATCACCCTCAATCCTAATTTTATCTTCCTCCTCCAAAATACCACTGCTAATATATGATTTGCATGTAAATCTTTCTATCCTTCTATGACAATTTTAATTATATTAATATACTAAAGGTGGTATCTGTCTATATGTCTGTATACAACCTTTAGTATACAGGCATGTACAATCTTTAGTATACTATTGCTGTGTTTTATTGTAAACTAAATTTTATCGTGTTGTATTTGTCATCCCACAACTTGCCTTTCTTACTTAACAAAGTATTTTTAGATGGTTCTAAGTTAATATATATCTAGTTGATTGCTTTTATCTGCTGCATAGTATTCCCTTTTATGAATGACCTCATTTTTGAATTCATTTCAAAACGAATGGTCTTATAGATTTTCCTCATTTTTGTCATAAAAATAAATGCTTCAGTTAATAGCCTTGGGCGTGTCTCCTTGTGTACATACGAATGCAATAATTTCTAGAGGGTAGATACCTAGCAGTTGGATTGCTAGTTCATGGTGTACATGCCTTTTCAGTTTTAATTAATACTTCCAAATCACCTTTTTGTAGTACTTATTATCAATTTATTCACTCTGGATGTGGCAAGGGGAGATTTTTCTTATTTTCCTAGTGTGTAGGTCAGTATACCATGCATTGATGCTCAGAAGACCAAGTGTTTGCAGTTTCAAAGCCCTTATCTTTAAATCCCTTCTCTCTACCAGAGTATTTAAAATCTACTTTAAAAAGCAAAAAATGAGGAAACACTGGTTTCTTTCTCCCTGTGTTTCTAAAGTAACAACACAACCCTGAGAACACAAAAAGTTAGCATTGGGAGAAGGGAGGCAAGATCCCCGTTAATACTTCAGAGTATTAGCCTACAACACCACAATGCTTCTTATCTTCTCCATAATCTACAGATCAGGCGATAGTATTCTAGTTTTATAGATGAAGAAAGGTCGTCTCAAAATAGTCAAGTAATTTGGTAAGTTTATACATCTCCTGGGCCAACCCAGAACTCAGACCCAAATCAGCAAAACTCCAAAGAAAGACCACAGCTTTTCAACTCTGCTCTATTGCTTTCTAATAAAAAAAATTAATGACGATGAGAACATCATCTTTATTAATAGAGTGGTATTAATGTATCTCATCACATCAGAACCCCAAATGAGTACCCACGACTTCCTAAACATTTCTGTCTTCGTAGCTAGAAGTCACAGTGGGTTTTAGTAGTGTGCTTTGCTTAAAATTTCTGCTTCCCATTCAAAAGGCTTTATTTTCCTCAAAGTTATGTTCATATACCACATTCCCTTCTTTTCTCGTTGCTTTAATATCTGAGGTTCTTAGAAGGAAACCCAAGGGTAGCATTAGGACTGCCATGGTTATTGACTATTAACTCGTTAACTTATTAACTCTTGTCCTTTGGATGTTGTATCACATGGGTAAGCAAATGCCTATAAGTCATTTCCCTCTAATGGTTCTTGTCTACCTTTAAAATTTTTGCTCATCTCATACTGCACATCTATTGCATGACAGAAAAGGACTGGAACATTTTTAAATAAGGAAAAGCACATCTCTGAGAATTTCAGAAACGTATTAGATATTGAATGAATGTCAAAGTGTAAGAAGAATGATGGCCAATGGTAGATATGACAAAGAGTACAGGTCAAAGATAAACAGGTATTTAATTAACCTAATATAGAGAGCTAAACTCACCTATAGCTGACTTTCCTCAATTCTGGCTTCTTTCATTTTCTGTATTCAAACAAAGCATAATTGGACTAGAATACTATTCATTTGGGGGGGCTCTTCAGATTCACAGGATGAAATGAACTAAAAGAAAACAACTGACCTTAGGCTAATTTCGAAAATTTTTACTTATATTCTTCAACAATATAGGTCAACTGAGCAAATTAAATTGCTGTTGAATGTATACAAACATAATGTGATTATCCACAGAGAGTAATTTGATATTGCCTAAATAACTTTGTGTTTTTAAAAATCTTTTATTTGTATTCCATCTCTTACCTGGGGGTGAGTTTATGAAATGCAGAGGCTGTGGAATCCCTGAATTCCACAGCACCAGTCACCATAATCTAAAGCTAGCAGTGGTTAAATGAGCTTGTGCTGATATTGACAAAGACAGAACACCTTTTAGTTGCAGGTGACAGAAAGTATCTCTGGTAGCCCAGGCAACAAAGGAAAGGCAAGGTCAAGGAGGTGGTGTTCACCTCAGGAGTGGCTAAATTCAGGTTTCAAAGGACATCATCATCATGCTGTCTCTGTTTCCCATACTCCCTCCCATCTCTCTCCTTCCTTCATGCCTTTCCTCTATGTTTGCTTACTCTAGATTTCCCATGTGGTGGCAAATAGGGTGATCAGCACCTAGTAATTCCAAATATAAGAGAATCACTGTCTCATTCCAACATCCACATCAAATCTCCAAATCAACCCTCCTGCCTGGGTCTTCTTCATGTTCATTGTTGTGGTAGAGGAGCGAGGACCATCTGATTGATGCCTGTCCCAAACTACATACTGTGGGTGACAGGCTATTTCCAAAAAGACAGCTGAAAGAAAGACAAATAGTAGATACCCACTGCATGGCTTTAACCAACAAAGATGAAAGAAGAAAGAAGTATCATCAGCACAAATATGAATATAGCATCGGGATGATTGGGCATTACATTATTTATAATAAAACCAGCATGGCATAAGTCCTGAAAATGGGGCTACAGGACATGATTACCTCCCATGGGACATGAAAGCAGAGACCTAGATAGTAGAAATGAGGAAACGTAGCTGCTGTGTTCAGGAATCTCAGGAGTGAAGGAGATTTCAGAAAGAGAAAGGCCCTTCAGAGTACATGAGAAATAAACACAGGCCCGGTGCTGGAAAACCAAACTGGATGAATAAAGATGATAATCTAAAGAGGACCAAATGCCACTTATCGGCGTATGGGGCCGAGAGCATTTAAGAGGCACCCCAGACTCCCCAGTAGACCAATAGTAATAGTAGTTATTAACCTCAGAGACAGGGTGTTGACCTGATTAAAGGCACATCTGTCCTTGTGAATATACATAGTCACAGGTGCAATGGAGAGATAACAAGGCAAACACCTTTAGAACTGCAGTAAACTGGTATCTGGATGGGGGGAGAGCAGCAGACAGATCTTCTGTACATGCATCTTGGAAGAAATCCTGAATGTAATTGTGGGCTACAAACAGTGTGTAACACTTCCCAAACCCAGACATCACTCAGTGAGGGAGAATGAGAGTTAAGTGTAAGTTGACACCTAATAAAACCCAAATATTTAAAAAAAGTAAAAGAGAATAGTCTTGTCAATTTCCTATAATTGAAAATCAGTGCAATGTCAGATATTTCAGCTATGGGAAAATAATATTAGATTATACAGAATATTTTGTGTTATTCCTCTCTGTAATTGAGTTTTATATTAGAATATTTAGACTATTTCAAATTTTGTATTATTTCAAAGAGTACTAAGGTGAACATGTGTACATGTATTTATATGTGCATATGTGAGTGTATTTATGTCTAACATTATAGGTATTATGTGTATACATAGAGTCAGACAGCTCCTGAGATCATGGATTTTGGCATTTTTGACAAACTGCAAAATTGTCTTTCAAATGACCAATTTATACTGCAACCCCAAGACCATGAAAATTGATTATTTTTGTCATACTACTGTGAATGCTGAATGTATCAAATCGTTTGCATCTTTGCCATTGTTTCAGGTGATAAAGAGTATCTCATTAATTTTAACATGCACATCAATTCCACCTTAAGGAGGCGTGTGATGATTTTTAACCAGCTAGGAGGTGCTAGTTGTATAGGACACCTGGAAGGAGCTGGTGGAGAGGCAGCACAGCCTCACAGTTACACATGGAGGCTGTGGGTTCAGATTGTCTGGATGGAACTCTTTAGGTCCTCCCAGACATCACCTTGTTAGCTAAATTCCCTGCACAGATTATTTAAATGTGTCTTCCTTTCTGTAAAGTGAGGTTATTTAAGGATTAAATGAGATAATACACTGGGCATGGTAGCTCATGCCTATAATCCCAGCACTTTTGGAGGCCAAGATGAGCAGATAACTAGATGCCGGGGTTTTGAGACTAGCCTGGTCAACATGGTGAAACCCCATCTCTACTAAAAATACAAAAATTAGCCAGGCAAGGTGACACATGTCTGTAATCACAGCTACTCAGGAGGCTGAAGCATGAGAATCACTTGAACCTGGGAGGCAGAGGCTGCAGTGAGCCAAGATCACACCCCTGCACTCCAGTCTGGGCAAGACTCTGTCTCAAAAAATATAATATAATAAATAAGATAATGCATATGATGCATTTGCACAACACGTACCACACAGTAAATGTCCAATAAATAATTTCTACTAACATTTATTATTGCACTAAATTTAGCTCTGAGCATCCTGGCAGCCAAAGCAAAGAGAGCTCATTGTTCAATAAAAAGAATAAGATAATAATCACAGATACTCATATAGCATTTACTGTATCAGCTCCTGTTCTAAGTACTTTATATATGTTAAAACATTTTGATGAGAAACGAAGCTTCTTTGGCCACTTATTGAATTCTGGAAAGAATTGATCAACAATTGATTCTGTTATACAGAAAATTATCATTCCCATTTTTCAATGAGAAAACTTGGACTCAAAGAAGTTAAATATCTAAGTTCTCACCTCCAGTAAGTAGTCAAACAGATTTGAACCTAGGCCTTTTGACCCCATAGTCTTCCTGCTATGCCAGAAAGCCTTTCCAGAAGTCTCTGTGTGAATCTGACTACTGCTTTGAGAGACACTCTGAGAAAACTCTGGCATTCAATACCTTAAGGCTTGATTCAGGACTCTTGCAATGCACTTGCATATGTATGTTTATCTGTAAGAGTTTATTGTTGAAGATTTTTTTTAACCAAGAGCATAAATGTAGTAGCAGGGTACACAATAGATTTTTGCTGGGATGATCAAACTTTGAACTCATAGAATGACACTGATTGAGGAATGATTTGCTTATCTAGTGTACGGTGGCTGGCGGTGTGTGAATTCCTGAGCCAGTGGTGTCCCAGAAGTACAGCCCTGGAGGCTCTGAGAGAATGGTACAGGTCACAACCGAGGCCAACAGTGACACCAAGGAGGTCTAACTGTGGCACCTTAATTGTAATGCTTCTTAGTTGTTCATATACTCTGGCAACAAGTGTGTGAAAGCACTAGTTGCAGTTTTGCAGTTTTTATATGCAAATGTGTGTGGGTGTGTCCATTTGTTCACATATGTGTGACACGCTAAAATACATTTTCATGCTTGGATCTAAAATATCTAAATACTAGAAATATTTAAAGCTGGTTTGGTCCATTCAAAACGTTCTGCTAAAAGTTCATCTGCATGTTATCAAGTAGAAGATAGCTTTCCAGGAGATAGTCGTGTTACCAGTCCTTACAAGGAACGGATGTCTTACTTTTTTGATCCTGTCTCAAAGAGGCAATATAGTGTGAATTGATTTACATTGGTTTTATCCCTTCTCCAGGTTGGCATTGCTCATTTTAGTAAGACTTAAATGGCTGGTATCACCTTAAAGTTGCGTATTTCTGAAGCCTCAGATGGGTAAATGCCCAGATAGATAAAATGCAAATCAAGTCAAGTTATCAATTTAGCATGAAGATAAAGCTGTTTGGATAATTGTAATAGAAATGTCTGATATTTTTCACCTTTACAAAATAAGAGAAGTAAGGGCGATTTTGTCTAGTAACAGAATTACATGGAATATATTTAGAAATGAGAAAAATGTGGGAAAAAAGCACAATGTTCAGTGCATGCCACCAATTATATAATACTATCTCAAACAAATCGATGTCTGTCTGCCCTAGACTCCACTTATTTAAAATAAGAGAATGAACTTGATGTTTGGCTTCATAGAGATTCAGCACCCTGTAATAGGCCTTCCATGTCTTTTAACGTATGTAATGCAAAGAACAAACAAATAAAGGCAGAAATTTTTCTAACTCTGTCTCTTCTCTCTTTCCCCCAGACTATGTCAGAGAGTCACAATGACCTTGCACAATAACAGTACAACCTCGCCTTTGTTTCCAAACATCAGCTCCTCCTGGATACACAGCCCCTCCGATGCAGGGCTGCCCCCGGGAACCGTCACTCATTTCGGCAGCTACAATGTTTCTCGAGCAGCTGGCAATTTCTCCTCTCCAGACGGTACCACCGATGACCCTCTGGGAGGTCATACCGTCTGGCAAGTGGTCTTCATCGCTTTCTTAACGGGCATCCTGGCCTTGGTGACCATCATCGGCAACATCCTGGTAATTGTGTCATTTAAGGTCAACAAGCAGCTGAAGACGGTCAACAACTACTTCCTCTTAAGCCTGGCCTGTGCCGATCTGATTATCGGGGTCATTTCAATGAATCTGTTTACGACCTACATCATCATGAATCGATGGGCCTTAGGGAACTTGGCCTGTGACCTCTGGCTTGCCATTGACTACGTAGCCAGCAATGCCTCTGTTATGAATCTTCTGGTCATCAGCTTTGACAGATACTTTTCCATCACGAGGCCGCTCACGTACCGAGCCAAACGAACAACAAAGAGAGCCGGTGTGATGATCGGTCTGGCTTGGGTCATCTCCTTTGTCCTTTGGGCTCCTGCCATCTTGTTCTGGCAATACTTTGTTGGAAAGAGAACTGTGCCTCCGGGAGAGTGCTTCATTCAGTTCCTCAGTGAGCCCACCATTACTTTTGGCACAGCCATCGCTGCTTTTTATATGCCTGTCACCATTATGACTATTTTATACTGGAGGATCTATAAGGAAACTGAAAAGCGTACCAAAGAGCTTGCTGGCCTGCAAGCCTCTGGGACAGAGGCAGAGACAGAAAACTTTGTCCACCCCACGGGCAGTTCTCGAAGCTGCAGCAGTTACGAACTTCAACAGCAAAGCATGAAACGCTCCAACAGGAGGAAGTATGGCCGCTGCCACTTCTGGTTCACAACCAAGAGCTGGAAACCCAGCTCCGAGCAGATGGACCAAGACCACAGCAGCAGTGACAGTTGGAACAACAATGATGCTGCTGCCTCCCTGGAGAACTCCGCCTCCTCCGACGAGGAGGACATTGGCTCCGAGACGAGAGCCATCTACTCCATCGTGCTCAAGCTTCCGGGTCACAGCACCATCCTCAACTCCACCAAGTTACCCTCATCGGACAACCTGCAGGTGCCTGAGGAGGAGCTGGGGATGGTGGACTTGGAGAGGAAAGCCGACAAGCTGCAGGCCCAGAAGAGCGTGGACGATGGAGGCAGTTTTCCAAAAAGCTTCTCCAAGCTTCCCATCCAGCTAGAGTCAGCCGTGGACACAGCTAAGACTTCTGACGTCAACTCCTCAGTGGGTAAGAGCACGGCCACTCTACCTCTGTCCTTCAAGGAAGCCACTCTGGCCAAGAGGTTTGCTCTGAAGACCAGAAGTCAGATCACTAAGCGGAAAAGGATGTCCCTGGTCAAGGAGAAGAAAGCGGCCCAGACCCTCAGTGCGATCTTGCTTGCCTTCATCATCACTTGGACCCCATACAACATCATGGTTCTGGTGAACACCTTTTGTGACAGCTGCATACCCAAAACCTTTTGGAATCTGGGCTACTGGCTGTGCTACATCAACAGCACCGTGAACCCCGTGTGCTATGCTCTGTGCAACAAAACATTCAGAACCACTTTCAAGATGCTGCTGCTGTGCCAGTGTGACAAAAAAAAGAGGCGCAAGCAGCAGTACCAGCAGAGACAGTCGGTCATTTTTCACAAGCGCGCACCCGAGCAGGCCTTGTAGAATGAGGTTGTATCAATAGCAGTGACAAAACGCACACATCAACCCACAGACCTTAGGAGGAGGAAGGCGAGGGCGGGGTGACTTCTGGTGATGATAAAAATGGTTTTATCACCCAGATGTGAAAGAAGCTGCCTGTTTACTGATCCATTGAATAAACCCATTTTAATAGAAAAAGTCAATACCAATTCAGCAAAAAGAAAAAAAAAACATACTACTGAATATAAAGAAATTTATTCTGAAATAGACTTTACGTGTTTTTTTCTTAAAGAGGAGAAAAATATTGCTTGACGGCAATTATATACCCAAAGTGATTTGCCTGGGTCCTTTAATTCCCATTAGCTTTGGAATCTCAGATGAGCATAGCTGACCCAGTTCCCACATTCTTCCCAAGGATCCCAAAAGTGGGAATCCAGACCCCAAGTGGAACACTGCAGGCTTACGAATCTGTGGTTCCAAAATTATTTCATACGTTGCAAAGCTGAATCTTCTTGTCCCAATAGAGCTTCCTGTCTTTTCTTTGGTGTGTTGTTAAACTCTATTTGTGGACTTGATTCTTGATTCTTGCAAAGTACTGTTTTGTGCAGTTCAAGTTTCGTACAAATAAAAATACTTAAGTATATATATATGTGTGAGTTCTGCACGCACACACATAGTGTATATAATATCATGGGAAACACTGAACTGGCAAATTATTCCTGCAACATACGCTTTCAGTACTTTGGTAACTGAAGTTCTCTAGGATCCTAATGCAACATTAACGTGAAATAAGCCCAGTGTAATGTTTTTGAAACCAGGGCTGTTTTCCACAGAGAGCAGCCAGGCCTTCCCAGCAGGTCTGTGCAGAGCGGACAGGCTCGTGAGTCAGCTGAGCGCCGTGGCTTCGCCAGACTTGGTGTTAAGCAACCTCCTTTGTTGATGTCTCAACAGAGCTAAATCGGGGCCCCTCTGAGCTCAAAGAATGAACCACATCCACACGTTTGAATTTAATCATCTAAATCTGAATGTTTCAGAACAAAATTTCTGCTATCTAAACTGCTTGAAACTCAATAATAGTGTCACGTTTGAATGTCATACACAGCAATATATATATATGTGTATATATATATATATGGCAAAGCAAAAAAAAAAACATGGTAAGAGAGAATGAAGGAGAACATTGTGTTTGATTCTTGCTGAATGGCACCTTCTCAAAGAAAATAGGGCTTGCACCTTTGTTAATCAGCTGTGGCCAGTGCTTTCTGGTGTTCATTGTGTAACCTTCACCCAGGAATAGGTGAGGTTTTAGGAAGTTACATGTCCTCTGAAGAAAGAATTACACTCTGAAAAGTAATGCTTCAAATTGATTTCCTTACCTTTTGGGAAAAAAAAAAAATTGTTTTTTTGCATTCTCCCTTGAATTGACCAAAATGTTAACTGTTTCATTTGGGGAGGGGATGGGGTGCTGCCATCATTGTCGTTGTTGTTGCTGCTGTAGCTGTTGGGGTTTCTTTTCCTGTTGCCGGGGCTGTTTGGGGAGAGGGAGGGGAGGGAGGTGGGAGGGCCGCGGAGATATCTTCCCTTTGTACAGGGCATTCGTGTTGTGAACCCAGAGCTGGGTAGAAGCTGCTTTTGTATTCAGTGTGAGGTGGTGTTTACAGACGACTTTGACAACAGTAGAAGTGTACTCAGTGGTGTCTGTGTATCTGAACTATTTAATTTCGTGTTATGTTTATATGCAGAAATATTTATGGATACTACACCAAGTGTTTATTTAATGTTGATAAATATGACTCTTCAGTCGTCAGCCATGGTGTCCTTTCAAAGTGATTCTTTAAGGTCCACTTGAGCAATGAATAGAGTATATTGGAGCTTTCCTGTGGCTAAGAAGAAGAAACATGTCATCCTGTTGGCATCACCAAGCACCTAACTCTTTCTAGGTAATAAAAAGTCAACGGTCACTTCAACGTAAATGTTTAAAACCACTCTTTAGTTAAATCTGATGGGAACTGAACAAAGCTCCACCATTGTGTCTGAAATCATTTTACACAGGGAAAAAAAAAAACAATCAGCATAATTGTAAGAATGATTTTTTTGGGCCCACATTCAACCAAAGAACAAGAAAGAAACAGACGATTTTCTAATATGTACACAGCAAACTACAGAATGTCATATTATCCACCTGTGAAACATCTAGTAAGCAATTGCATCTATATTTTATTTCTCAAGTTGGCCTGGCACTAATAAATATGTGAAAGCTTATTCAAGTGTCCCAGTACTTCAGCACTTCCCATCCTTTTGGAAACTCCTATCTTGCCTCCCTCCCAAAAGGGCTGTTTCTTTTATTAAAAAAAAAAAAGAAATAGAATTAAATTTGAGAAAAGGAGAAACCCTGAAATTTAACAGAACTTTGAGAGTCACTTCCAATCTCCTTAAACATGATTATCTCCTTATCCTTGTCCTTTTGTGATGCTAATAATAGCAGAAAAGGAACAAATCCAAGACTCTAGGTCTCCCTTTTTTGTTTTACTGGTTTTATTATAGAATTGTTTTTAAGCCTCTTATGGATGAAAGCTGCATTTAAATACTATCTACTGATTTTATAGAAAGGTATGTCCATTTCTTGGGTCACTTTCAGAGAAAGAAAACAAGCAAAATAGGTTCTTTTGAATATGAATAATTTAAAAGCATAATTGAAGATGTAGTGAGTATTTATAATTGGACCTTAGTTACACGTGCATTTCTCAAAGGGCTTGTCATTACAGGAGATATTCAGCACTTACCTAAGATCAAAATGTCTTCATCCCAAATTGGGAATCGAATTATTTCATGCCATATGCATGAGGTTTGCAGACATTTCAAGATTAGCCACTTTGCTTGAAAGAAGAAAATGATCAAACCTAAAATAAACTACACATGGAGAATCTCTCTCTCTCTCTCTGCCTCTCTCTCTCTCTTTCTCCCTCTTCTTCCTTCTCTCTCTCTCACAAGCACACACACACACACTCAATCTCCATTCTCCAGGCATTGCCAGATGGTTAGGAGAAGTGAGCTCTCTCTGGTCCCCTAGATCCCTCGGCTCTGCTCTCCTTTGCCCATCAGCTCCCTGTGGCCTCTATGCTAGTCCTCCCTATTCTCCTAGTCACCCTTTGCCTCTTAAGCCCAGCCTTGACTCTCTACATATTTTTCATTTCTCTTTACCCTTTAGTGTACAATAGTTGTAGACTCTGACGGAATGAAAACAAACAAGAAGCCTAAGCGTTAGACCCTGCTGTGGCTAAAGATCTAGAAGGCATATCAGTTTTCTCTGTCAGGCTTCCTACGTTGCCCTCGTGCAGGGCTCATTGCTCTGCAGAGCGCTGGAAGCCCCTTCATGTATCGAGAGAGAAGCTGGAGCACAGAGCTCTGATGCACAGTTGGCTGTTTCAGCTCTGACTCAGGGAGGAAAGAAGGATGCCAAGGCTCTGTCACAGCGGAGAAGTCTAATACCAGAGTGGCACAGAGAAGGATTCCAGGGATCAGTCAGGGTGTCCTGTACCTATCTGAGTAGAGATGATTCAAGGATGGGGACATATTCCAGGAAATTGCACAATCTTCCCCTGGCAGCTTCAGAGGACGAGTGAAAATAGTGCAGTATAGTCAAAGAAGCAATGAATTTAGGATGAGGAACCTGAAGTTTCTGGACCAGTTTGGTCACTGCTTAGTTACATGTCCTTAGGAATGCTTGTCACTTAACCTAAACTTTCTGGGTTTTATCCTCATTGCTCAAACTAAGCAACAACACCGAAGCTTCTCTAATTTGCCTTCTGATGCCAAATCGGTCAAAACTGAGGTCAGCAGCTACCATGACGAAAGTAAAATGGTATATTGGGTGAATGTTTGAAAATTTCAGATTTTATATTCTGTAAAGTTATTTACTTACTCTATTTCAACACCACAAAATCTTGAAATTTGGAAGGTAACCAAGGAAGCTTTGAAATTTGTTGGCAAACCCGGAGTAGTATGGTTTCAAATACCACTCCAACCCAGCACCTGAGGTCGGGCAAACTCACAAAATAGAGTTTCTAGGTAGCAGGTGTTTGCTTTGGTTTTGCAATAGCATTTCTCATAACAGAACTGAAACTGTATAGATTACAACACTCCAAAGTTATTTTTTTTTAACCTAAAGAACCCTACTTCTAGCACCTCCTCTGAAAGAATATTTTGCTCCAATACCACGTGCAACAAACTTATTTAGACAGTATCAACTCTAGCCCTTAATAGGTTCAAGGACAAGTTTACTGCTTCCTTTCTACACGCTTAAGTTACACTCTCTTCTCCTGTTCTGATGACTCTAAATCTTCAGCCTCTCCCAGCATTAATGTGTGAGTCAACATTGCAGACCTGAGAAAGGTTTCTAGAATGGTAACCCAATGTTCTTTAGAACTGGAGAATTCCATTTTCCTTTTCTGGCTTTAGTGTTAATGTCTGGGAAGGGAGGCTCATGATAAGAAAATAAAAATGAGAAAAGAAGATCTAGTTCATAAAATGACTATACCCCACGTAAGTTTGTAACTGCACAGTGTTTTGTTGTACGGCTCAGAAATGAGCAAGTGTTAGTATTATTAGGCACACATCACGTTCACAGCTTCGCGCAGAGACGGATAGTGTATTTGGATATATGGAAGTCATCCAAATGCGTTGCTAGAATATCAGGCCTATGTTTGTTCTGGTAGAACCACAGAGACTCACACAAAGTTCTGACCCTACCACTCTGGTCTGGGCTGAGACCACCCCAAAAAATCATCTAGAGAATCAAAGGGGCTCACATCTCAGTTGCATTCTATTTAAAAGATAAAGGGGCCATACTCTCCACTGCAAAGAAGCATTAGTAAAACTTCCCGCACCCAAATTATAATCCGGCAACCCTAGCTTCAGCTAAAAAGATTATCCCCAGAATCTAAAAGCTTACTATTGTTCTTTCTTGGAGTCCAAAATGCTTAGCAGTTCTGCAGTTCACATACAAAACTCAAAACTCTTTTTATCCTGTATTCTGTGAGTTCCTTGATGATAGTAATTGGGTCTTATTCATCACTCTGTATCCTGTGGCTCACACAGAATCTGGCAAATTGCATATATTCAATAAATGTTGAATATCTAATAACCTCCTTATTAATATAACAAATATTATCAACATTCTGTGCACATCAATGTCCCATGCTGCTACTGTAGTCAGGAGTTATTTGGCTGGGAAGTGGAAAGTGTTCACAAACATGATGCTTATCTAATAAAATATCACTGAGCAATAAGGAGAAATATTTTAAATAGATTTGAAGTTGTGAACAAATAATTTAGAGTCCAAAGAGGAAAAAGAAAATTAACTCTGTTTTTTATCCCTAGAACTCAGAAACTTTACTGGATTGGTCAACAAAGACAAACTTTTTATTGTATAAAACAGTAGAATTCATGGAAGGGATAATTCTTTTGGAACAGGCTTCTCGGTTACTTGCCTTAGTAAAAGAAGTATCTGGAGGGCCTGGAGAGTTCATAAACATAGTTTTCTGTGCAAGTGAAGATCTGTAGTTTGGCTTAAAAATCCTTGCATGTAGTTTTGCTTGGCGTGGAAAGTTATTAGGAGACAATCCTTTATCCTGTTCTGCAAGCAATCAAACACATGATCTCCCTTCTAGCCATTCCTCATCCAGTACATGGGCATTTCCAGCCTCCTACATGTAACACTTCAAACTTCCTCTGGGCGTCTGCTTAGAGCTATGTGATGGCCACAGTTTGGGCAAAGCCCTTCTTTCTTTTAAATATAGGAACTGTTACCAAGTTTGGTGCAGGCTTGAGGAATAATTACATAAAAATGGGCTTCCACGATGGTGAATCAGCATGCTGATTTCTCTTGGCAGGAAGCTCTCAGGGAAATGTCTGTGAATCATTTAAAGATGCTCTCTGGTGGATAGAGAAACCGCAGTCCAAAAACAGATGGGTGTATATTTGCTTTGTAAGCAAAGGGCATGTATCATACTCGCATCTAAAACAGTGTCCACATCTTTGCCAAAGGCACTGAATTTTACCTTTTTTTATTACCTCGTGGCCAGCACTTCCTCAGTAGGCATTTCAGGTGTGTCACAAACCATGTTCATTTTTAATCTTGAAAAAGTCAATCGTCTGTAGTCTGTACTATAAAATGATGCCTGCAACTTTGTGGTGAATATTATCCCCAAGTTAACAGTGAAATAAGTAAATAAAACTATTATTGAACAAAGAGTGTGGTTTGCTTTTATTTAACCCAGGGCCTATAATACAGCCACAGCTTTTTATTGTATAAAAGGGTAGAATTCATTGAAAGGATAATGCTGAACAGACTGCTGTTTGCCTTGTCTTCCCTTTCTTTTTCACATGCAAAAGAACTTTCTTTAACAACTATCATCATACCATCATAATCCAAATACTTCCTGAGTATATACAGGTGTAAACTATAGCTACGCATATAGTCCTTACTCCAAAAGTGCATGTGAAGAAAAATATTTGTCTGTAGACACATAACATGGAAGGGAAATTTTCTCTTTTGTAAGGAATGCTTACCTTTTTTTCTTTTCAGGTGTATTTTTGTTTCTTTTAGACTCCACAGAAAATATTTTCCCACTGGAAAAAAGAAAAACAAGCTTCATATTTTATTACACTGACTTTAAAATTGCTGGAAGTGAAGGTACAAAGAAGTTACTCTGGGCGAGAAATGACATTTTTTTGAATGGCATGCCTGGTCACTTCATGATTCTTTTACTGCTTCTTAAGCTGACCCATAGAAACCAACCATTGCCTCTTTGGTCTTTAGTGCAAGAAAGAACAAGGAGGAATGTGAGAGAGAGAGAGAGAGAGAGAGCTAGCTATAAATACAGCTACATATGGAGAGAGAGAGAGAGATAGTATATACACATATATATATTTTTTTCTCTCCCTCACAACTTTTTCTGCCAGTCATTACATCTTCATGTCTTCATCCTCAGTTTACAATTTGAACCTGTGCTCACTGAAACATTGGGCATCCCCTCTCCGTCTCTGTTTTGCTATTTCATGCTATTACACTTACCATTTAGGTCAATGTAGGTGGCCAGAAAAGGAACTGCTTTTCTCACTACTCTATCATAGTAGACATTTTTACATAAAACTCATATGAGATTTAAGAAGAAAAGTTTTCTATTGTGTTAAAGTCTTCCTTAATTTGCTGCACACATTTATGCAATATGAAATCTTGACTACGGAAAGAAACATTGGCTAAAATTATGGAAGATTCATAAACCATAAGAATATGTCAATGTTGGAAATACCCACTAAGTATGAGTTGACTTTTAACTGAAAAGTACTTTGTTGGGAGTTGATAGATAGCTTTTGGGGGAGCTTTGCCGCTTCCTTATCCAAATGGTTACATGGAGAAGAAATTTTACAAAATACGACCAATAAATTGATTTAAATATTTTCTGCAATTATTATTTTATTTGAACTGAGATATTTCACCCTTGAAATAAATGTTTCTGTCACAGGAGTCAGATATATTTTTTAACTATCCAGCATCTTTTTAAAAGCATTAAAAATTAACTTAACTTAAGCAATAAGCATAAATGATCTTTCGTTGAAATTGAATCTCACCTAAAAAGACTTGGAAGAGTATAGAGAGAGAGAACTTTTTTGAAAAGACGACCTGTGGTCCAGTGCACTTACAGAGTCATGAAGAGGATGCAGCCAGCTACGGCTTGGAAGTGGAAGTTCCTTGGTCTAATCATGGTCATTCTTGGCCTTTTTTGCCTACCACCCCTTCACTTTAATTCTTGCTTCTGTTTCTTGGAGATGCCATGTGCATATTTTAGTGGAACTTGTCATTCTCCATGAGAATTAAACAACAGCACACAGGTTATGAAAAGGCAGAAGGATCCTTCATAGGAACAGTCTGTAAAAGATTGGTTTTCATTTCAGTTATATGGAGGATAATGATGAGAATCACGTTGGAATGAGAGCCTTGAATTACAGAGACGCTCGCTGTCTTTAGCAGTGTTTCTGAAGAGAGTATTTTAGCCGTGGTTTATAAGAGTAGAATTACTAACTCAATCTTGCAACAAAAGGGAAAGAGAGTTGTCGAAGGCAAGGCTGCCAGTGAGAGATGTTCCTGACATTTCAACTCACATCTCCAACCCCCAAGTTTTTATTCTGCCTATTTTGACACCAATCATTTGCCAATTCGCTATTGGGAAATATCTGAGAAATCAGAAATCTCTGCAGGAGGAAAAAACTGCCTTCAGACCCCAGGAAAAATAATCCAGGTGCTTTCATCGGGCTGGATATTTTTATTAGGACCCAGAGGGTGTCTTGTGATTCCCATATGCTGAGCATGCAAACCTCAGTAGACCAAAGATGAGTAAGATGCACCTGAAGACCACACGTGAGCTCTGAACCCCTGGTAACACCCAAAACATGATGGGCTCATCAGCATGTAAGCAAAGATTGACCCCAAAAAATGATGCTTGCATCAGTTTTTAAAACCTTTTGATCGCTACCTTAGTGTTCCTTTGTAATTCTTTAAAAAAAAAAAAGATTGCATCATGCTTCTCTTTATAGAGTTTCTCTTCGTTCTAGACAGTGCAGTGGGCTAGGATATTTACATGAAAATCCACTATTAATGTTCTGGATTCACTCAGTGACATGTCTGTCATCATAATATCCTGTCTATAATGCATGCATCTATCAGACTTTTTCCCTAATTCATATTACCAATTGTTCTTTCCCATTAAAAAATGGGACTTCGATTTTTCAGAAGTCCTTTATTTTTCTTTTTAAGGGAAACTATTTTTAATATCCATGTAGGCTGTGTATCTATTTGGCTTAATCTCAGCCAATGTTTTTGTCATGACACTTACTAAACGCTCCTTATCTTAACTAACTTACCTTTCTGAATCAAACCATTCTCCTTCAAGCAATTAATTCATAGAGATGACAAATTTGTGATTTGTCTTCTGATACAAACAGCCACTTAGAAGCTACAAATCAGGTAGAAAGTGGAATGTGGTATATTCATATCAGAGGGATGATTCTTTGACATTTAGTTTGATAGGGCAAATGGAATTTTGATAATATTCTAGCTTATTAAATTTTTGACCCACTGATAAAAACAGATCTCTAAGTGTGACAACTCCCCTATTCTGTCTTCCACAAAACAAAGTGCCTTTAAAAACCTGTCTGCTATAACCAGTTCCACCTGCAGGATGGATAATGTTAGAAGTTATTGACTACACTATTGTGCTGCCTGGGTTAGCTTGAAATGGAAACAATCAACAGCGGTTCAGACCAAAATGTAGAAGAACAAAACTAACAAAGACAACAAATGAAAACCAATACTAACCACCGTCTGCAGTGAGTTCCTTCAGCTGTGACTTTTCAGGGAAGGACCTCCTCTGAAGTTAACTTCAGAACAATATAAAAAGGCCAATCCTTTGCCAGTGGGCCAGAAGTAAATATTTTCCCAGATACTATTGTGTAAAATCATTCCCACACTTGCTGTGGAACCAGTGCCATTATCTTTAGGTGTTGGAAGTAGAGGAAGTCGTTGTGGGGCCTCAGGAAATGATACGATAAAAGATGGCTCCCTGCACACCTCCCTCCTTACTCCACCAATCCACGCCCCCACCAGCTTCCAGTTCAGACCTGCTAGGGCAGAACTATCACAGAAACCCAGATAGAAAACTTGCCAGAATTCTACTCCCTTTTTGATTGTAAGAGAAACAAACAGTACACGTCTAATACAAACTTTCCTTGCCAAGATGGGAAAACTGAGTTAATAGTCCAGGCTTTCTCTCTGCTCATTTCAACCTGTGCACAGTACCCCAACTCCCTAACGTGTCCCTTAACCCAGAATTAAGTGTCACCTTCATATGTACTTTCTTTTTTCTTTTGGTTTTTTTACTCACTTTCTCTGCTGCCCAGGCTGGAGTGCAGTGCCATGGCCTCTGTTCACTGCAACCTCTGCTTCCTGGGTTCAAGTGATTCTCCTGCCTCAGTCACCAGAGTAGCTGGATTACAGGCACGTGCCACCATGCCTCGCTAATTTATTTTTGTATTTTTAGTAGAGACGGGGTCTCACCATGTTGGCCAGGCTGGTCTCTAACTCCTAACTTCAAGTGATCCACCCACCTCGGCCTCCCAAAGTGCTGATATTACAGGCGTGAACCACTGCACCCAGCCCGTATGTACTTTCTAATACACTTTAAGACCTTCATGTTTCTGAAGTAAAAAAAAAAAAGAAAAAAAATCAATTTGTGTACTATGAAGCAGATTACAGCTCCTGTTAGCTAAGTGGCAGCACAGTAGGTGACTTCAGAAGATGGAACCAATGTGTAAAAACAGAGAGATAAAGACCATTAAAGAGAAAATAAAAACCATTTATTAAGAGATAATGAGGTCATTTTATACTGTCAGGATTCTAAAATAATATTAAGATCCACTCAATGCACATCATAGATTGTGCCACCCTTTCTAGAATATCATAGATTTTTGAGTTGGAAGGGAACTTTTAAATATTCTCCAATCAAATTTATATTCAATGCAGGGGGCCCTCCTACAGCATCCTTGACAACTGGCCTCCAGGATTCTTTGTAAATAACTGCAATGACAAAAAAAAATCTACATAATAAATTAAGCAGGCCACTTTGTGTTTAGATAGCTTCATTTTATCCACCAGTTCTCATCTTCTCTTCTAGGACACTGCTTTTCAAGCTGGGGTGGTGTGAAATACATGAGGAGTTTCCAGGAAGTACTAGAATATTGTCAGTTTAAGGGTCGCTTTCAAGATCCTCAACTGCCATAGGTACTCAGTCTCAGGTTGACCTGCTTGAAAAGAACATCTTCTTTACACCTGCCTTTCCATTTTACACCACATGTCTCTCAGCCAGCCTGAATCTTATTCCTACATGCAAAAAAAATCTGGACATCAAACAAAAGGACAGTTTCAAAATACATGGTTCCTAAGAGAATGTCCTGTGGCAGAAGAGCAAATAGAGAGTCCTTAAGAAATACTGAAGAGGGCAGTGCCTTATTTCATCTAGAGAACCAACTTATGCTAAGCTTCCATCCATCTATCCATCATCCATCCACCCATCCATGCACCCATCCATCCATCCATCCACCCATCCATCCATCAGCCATTCATCCACCCAACCATCCATCCACCCCATCCATCCATCATCCATTCATCCATCCATCTATCCATCCGTCCATCCATCTTTCATTCATTCATCTATTTATCTATCTTAATCATCTATTCATTCATCCATCCATTCATTTATCCATTCATCCATCCATCAGTCCATTTATGAATTAGAATTCAAAGGTGAAGCGGCCATGATAAAAACACATGTCTTTGAACTGGAAAATTAGTTCAGATATTTTTTCAACATAAAGCAAATGTAATTTAGCTGATCAGTTTGACCATGAGGACTGGCTTTGCCAATTGGATTATATGGCTTACATTTTCCAAAAGGTGAATGATAAAATCTACACTATAAGGTTTTGATTAAAAAAATTTTAAAAACAGAGATAATCTGGCAAAAGTGGGAAATTACATCATTTGAACTATTAAACTTATGAGAAAATTGTTTAGAGAACAAACTACAAATATGCAAGGGGTATATAACTTTTGAAGATTCTTTTGAGTGTACATGAGCCAAAAAAAGAGAGAACTTGTGTAGAATGCAGAATAATAAACTCCAACCATATGACAGATCTCAGACTATATGATAACTGTCATTTCTCCTTTTCATCACTTATTTCCCACTTTAATCCTCCCTGATGACCTCCACTATTCCTCAAAATGCATGTCTAGAGCATCACTAAGGCAGGAAGGAATTAGTGACCCCAACAAGGCTCTCCCTGTCTTTCTGGAGTTCCAGCTCACACCTCAACCTGGCCCTAATGATATGCTCCATACACCTCACTGCCTGCACTGTAAGCTGCCAGCGAAAGACTACAGCAACATCCAGTTCATCTTCTAATAAGCCAACAAGTGGCTTGAACACAGTTTCTTACTCAGCCTCGGGCTAATCTCAAGTGTTAGGAGGTGCTGTGGCTGCCTCAAAGCACAATCAACCTAAAAGTGGAAGACAATCAAAAAGCAGGAGCATGTGAAGAAAAAGAGGTTGAGGGAAAATAAGTGTGTATCCAGCTATGCTGAAGATGAGAGTGCACAGCAATACACAAGACCACTGATGACATTATTAGAGTCAACAGTATTTTAAATAGACAGTGGCATCACACTCATGTCGGAGGCTAAGCTCTTGAGAGGGTAAGAGGTTGCTATGTTCCTTGTGTCTTTCAGTCCATTGCTTTCTCTATCACCATCACCATTCCTCCCCAGTCCTGACCAAACCCTGTCCACGAAACTGTAGGTTGTGACAAATACTGCTCTGGTGGTTAATACTGAGTGTCAACTTGATTGGTTTGAAGGATGCAAAGTTTCCTGGGTATGTCTGTGAGGGTGTTGCCAAAGGAAACTAACATTTGAGTCAGTGGGCTGGGGAAGGCAATCCACCCTTTTCAGGCAGAAAAACGTGAAAAGGTGTGACTGGCCTAGCCTCCCAGACTACATCTTTCTCCAGTGCTAGATGCTTCCTGCCCTCAAACATCAAACTCCTAGTTCTTCAGTTTTGGGACTCGGACAAGCTCCTTGCTGCTCAGCTTGCAGATGGCCTATTGTGGGACGCTGTGATCATGTGAGTTAATGCTTAAAACTCATATATATATATATATATACACACATATATATATGTGTGTATATATATATGAGTTTTTTATATATATATATAGATATATATATATATCCTATAGGATATATATATCCTATCAGCCATATGACAGAACCTATAGGATATATATATATATATATATATATATATATATATATCTCCTATTAGTTCTGTCCCTCTAGAGAACCCTGACTAATACAACTGCCTTCAAGGAAAGGGTTGATCCAAAAAGAATAAAGAGTCCAAAATCTTAACTTCAGATCTTCTAGGCAGATTTTTAACAAATCAGTATTAGTAAATGAAGTCTTTTCCAGAGTAACAGCCAGGCACCAGAAAGAGAAAAATGGTTTTCGGAAATTCTAAAACCTCTCTTGGGCTTCTATCAAAGGATGTCTGCCTCTGCACCCCTAGAAACATTGCTCTATTCAAATATACTCACCAGGCCACCATTGTCTGGCTCTAGCCCTCACCTGGGCATAGGTGTTCTCAACTTATATAGCAGGTCCTTGAATAATGTCATTTTGTTTAACACTGTTTCATTATAGCATTCACGAAGAAAAGAAATGATTCTTGGCCAGGGCCACTGTGTTGAGTGTGTGTGTTCTCCCCATGTTTATGTGGGTTTTCTCGAGGTCCTCTGGTTTCCTCTCACATCCAAAAGCTGTGCCCATACCTAAGCTTCATAACTCACCTGGAATTGGTGTATCTACATGGTCTCAGTGTACCCTGAGCAGCCAGGACAGGTTCCACCCACCCGCCATCCCGAACTGGAATACACAAGTAAGTAATTATCTTACTTGTTCTTATTAATCTTTCTTAAATGTATGCATAGCCTACATTTATTTCAATGCTCAACAGTAAAAGTGTTTTGGTTTTTATTTATAAGCATGGTGATGGTTTTGTGACCAGAAAAATGCCACAGTAACTTAACTCTCATTTACATCAGTTAGCCTATGGTAAAAGTGGTTTTGTGAGTCATTATTTCACTTAAAGTTGCAGTTTCCAAGAAACTGTTGACAACATTGAGTGAAGACTTATTGTATTATTGTTGTAGGATAAACAGGTATGTCTGCTGTGTAGTAATAGGCCAATTATGCAGACAGCAGTGGTGTAGCAGAGAAAGTTTAATTACTGCAGAGCGTTGGGCAAGGAGATAGGGGTAGATTTTCAGATCCAGTTTTTCAAAGAGTTTTAGGCTGCAGTTTTTAAGGGGATTATGGAAGGTGAGTGGCTGGAGAATTGGGGTCGTTGATTCGTGGGGGTGAGGGAGATGAAACTGTCAGCACATGGAAACTGCATTCTTTAGTGAGTCAGCTTCTTGGGGGGTGGGTGTTTGGACCAGCTGAAGTCAGTAGGGTGCTTGAGATCAGCTGGTATCAGCGGGATTTTTCAGATCAGCTGAGTCAGTAGTTTTATTAGTATGCAGGACTTGAAGAATTACCTCAAAGGGAAAATTTAATGTTTTATAATGGTTAAGTTGTGGGGAATTATAATCTTGTAACAGGGTCTACATGATTTTGAGGCAACAGACATTAAATAATTATGACAAAGCAGGTCATACAACTGACTTAATGATTGATGTTGTATGTGCTGAGTAATTTTGTAAAGTGGAGTGGTTTTAGCCCACCTTGGGCTTAATCAAACCCCAACCCTGAGGTGAGAACTAATACAGTGTGAATTGGGTGAAAACCACTCTAGCTTTTTCCTGCCGGCAAGGGGCACAGTTGCGGTAAGAGTCAGGATTTGAGGAATAAAACTGCCTGGCAGTAATCTGCAAGCACGTATGGCTGCCCAGTTGGACACTTCAGGGGCACAGCATGAACACATTAGCGCTCCTGCACGCTGTCTTAGCATGGCGTGTATTTAATTATATACTGGACTGTAAGATCATTATAAGTCCTATTGTCAGAATTATGAGCCCACATTTTTAAAGTCCTTGTAAAGTAGACTGAAAACTTTAGGGGTACTAGTGACATTTTATTGTCACAGAGTCTGTTCTGTCAGTCTTGTTGTGTCCAGAATCTGTGGGTTCTTGGTCTCACTGACTTCAAGAATGAAGCCACAGACTCCCCGCTCCGGGTGAGTGTTACAGTTCTTAAAGATGGTGTGTCCAGAGTTTGTTCCTTCAGATGTGTCCGGAGTTTCTTCCTTCTGGTGGGTTCCTGGTCTCATCAGCTTCAGAAGTGAAGCTGCAGACCTTCATGGTGAGTGTTACACCTCTTAAAGACGACACAGACCCAAAGAGTCAGCAGCAGCAAGATTTATCTTGAAGAACAAAAGAACAAAGCCTCCACAGCATGCAACGGTACCCACCAGGTTGCCGCTGATGGCTCATGCAGCCTGCTTTTATTCCCTTATCTGACCCCACCCACATCCTGCTGATTGGTCCATTTTACAGAGAGCTGATTGGCCCATTTTTCAGAGAGCTGATTGGTCCATTTTGACAGGGTGCTGACTGGTGTGTTTGCAAACCTTAAGCTAGACACAGAGCACTGACTGGTGCATTTACAATTCTTTAGCTAGACACAAAAGTTCTCCAAGTCCCCACTAGATTAGCTAGACACAGAGCACTGATTGGTGCATTTACAAACCTTGAGCTGGACACAGAGCACTGATTGGTGCGTTTACAAACCTTGAGCTAGACACAGGGTGCTGATTGGTGCATTTACACACCTTTAGCTAGACATAAAAGTTCTCCAAGTCCCCACCAGACTCAGAAGCCCAGCTGACTTAACCTAGTGGATCCTGCACGGGGAGCTAGGGGAGCTGCCTACCAGTCCCGCCCCACGTGCCCTTACTCCTCAGCCCTTGGGCGGTCGATGGGACCAGGCACCACGGAGCAGGGGGCAGTGCCCGTCAGGGAGGCTCGGGTCAAGCGGGAGCCCATGGCGGGCGGGGGAGCTCAGGCATGGCGAGCTGCAGGTCCCAAGCCCTGCCCCCTGGGGAGGCGGCTGAGCTGAGGCCTGGCGAGAATTAAAGCACGGCACTGGCAGGTCGGCAGTGCTGGGGGACCCAGTGCACCCTCCGCAGCTCTTGGCCCGGGTGCTAAGCCCCTCACTGTCCAAGGCCAGCAGTGCTGGCTGGCCGCTCCGAGTGCAGGGCCCACCAAGCCGGCGACCACCTGGAACTCGTGCTGCCCGCAAGCGCCCTGCACAGCTCCGGTTCCGGCCCACACCTCTCCCTCTACACCTCCCTACAAGCAGAGGGAGCTGGCTGCGGCCTCGGCCAGCCCAGAGAAGGGCTCCCACAGTGCAGTAGCAGGCTGAAGGGCTCCTCAAGCACAGCCAGAGTGGACACCGGGCAGAGGCCTAGGAGGCACTGAGAGCAAGGGCTGCTAGCACGTTGCATGTCTCATTGTGATTTCTATTTTAATAGTAATGCTGGTGAGTTGTGTCTACACTCAAAAAGGAAGGGTGTATTATGAGACACGTCTGATCTCTCATCTCTTCATGGCCAGGAACTAAGTTTTAAGGTTTTTCTGGGGTCCTCTTGGCCACAAGTGAGTCTGTTCGGTCAGTACGGGGGTGCTTAGGATTTTACGTTTCCCCTTTTTGGTTAAGATATGCCAGAGGCGGCATTGATGGTCAAACTTTTATTTTGTCCCGTATTGTTGTCAGTGGGACTCCTATGGCCAAAGGACTTAGAGCCGAAAGACTTACTGCCAATTAAATGTTCTAGGCCAGATGGCAATGGAGGTGGGCAGACACTCATTAACCCTTAAGAAACTTTTGAGCAGCATAACAGCTGAGAGCCAAAAGCCAAAGATAAGCTTACAGAATTGAATCCTGGTCTTAGATACTGAGATAGCAATTATTTATACGAGACATAAGCATTTTGTTAAACCCTTTTGAGTTAAGGAGTTTAGAGAGGCAAAGTTTCTCAACTTGTCGGCTATTTAGGCATTCATGTGCCCATCCTGGATTTGGAGGATCTGAACTAATTTTATCCCTCAAAACTGGCCCTTGGAATTTTGTGTGCCCACTTCTTTCACGGTAGTCCCTGAGCCTAGAAATTGAATAGTTTTAAATTCTGGCCTCATGTCTCACGAAAGCAATTCATTTTGACTAGAACCTTTTTCTGGGTCTGAAGATGAGGCTTTGGTTAACTTGAGTTTGATGTCACATACAGGTATCAATGTTTAAGATTCAGCAAGATTTGATGCCTTTTTTAGATGAGATACGTGTACCCAGGAGTCAAAGCCCTGTCACTTAATAAGGTGCTATTATCAAGGATTAGTTAATAGCACCTGAAATAAAGAACGTTTTCAAAGGGGCTGGAGGGAGTCCATTAGCTGATTTTTCTTTTAGTGTAATTGTCAGGCTAGAAGTGGTGATACTGCAGTTCATGGTCTGACTGGAAGCTGTAAAAAGATTTTACAACTTTGCAGTGATTAATTTTTATAGCTTTGATAAGCCCCAGCAATAAGTCAGAGACTTAATTTAGTATTTGATTTTGAAGATGTTTATCAAAGACGTTAAAAGGCTCAAAACAGAATCAGACAGAGGTCACTGTAAAGTAATAGTTATTTATTTAACTAAGATTGAGAAGTAAAAGACCTTAAAGAAAATACCGAAGGTTATATGTATGTAAAAAATTTAATCCTTTTAAATCCTAGTGTTTTTAAGTAATTAAAATTCTAACAACGACATAGAAATTATCTTGGCAAAATGTAAAAATCTCTGTTTCTTAGGCCAGTTATTAAAAAGGCAAAGAAAAACCTCCTGCTGTGTGATTACTTTTCCTTATGGGAAGCCCATTTAGATAACCTGAAAGTCAAACCTGATGAAAAAGGTTCTTGAATTAATCAGATGCAGGAAGCATGTGTCCAGGATTATGAATATAAACTATATTATGAAGGAAACGAGAAACTAGAAACTATTTAGACATGACTCTTAGTAACAGCATGGGAAGTTTTCTTGTTACACGGAACAATTTAGACTTATCAAGAAAAGCCAAGAGTATACAGCCAGGTTGCACTGGAAGAAAACATTGCTTTTTCAGACCTTTAAGATAAACATTTCAGTGTCAGGCTATCACAGTAAAGTTAGAAATGGAGGCCAAGGTTATAGGTGCTGACAAAAAAGTTGAAAGAGTTCTTATCTCAGGCTTTCTCAAAGGGTGAAAAAGCTGGTAGCACCAAGGCACAGCAGAAGTGGAACTTCTGAGATATAAATTTGAGGGACTTTTTAAAAAAAAAAGGTTATAAAATTAAAAATGAGAACCTCTTATAATTTAAGAGCGAATTAATATCTTAAGAAAATCTTATTTAAATATAGGGAGCTAAATTTTAGAAAAATTATTATAAATTATTTTATAAAATTGTAACTAACTAAGACAGGGTCTGACTTTGTTGCCCAGGATGGAATGCAGTGGCCTGAACAAGGCCCACTGCAGCCTTGACCTCCCAGGCTCAAGTGATCTTCCCACCTCAGTTTCCTGAGTAGCTGGGACTGTAGGCACGTGCACCAGCAAACCTGACTAATTTTTCCACTTTTTGTAGAGATGGGTTTTTGCCGTGTTGCCCAGGCTGGTCTGGAACTCCTGAGCTCAAGCCATCCACCTGCCTTGGCCTCCCAAAGTGCTGGGATTGCGGGCATGAGCCACTGCACCCAGACATAAACTTTTTTCTAATAAATTGTCTTTTATGAACCTTATTATTACTTTCATAGACCATCAATGACATTCTTAAATTTTTGCTTTGTCCTAAACCAAGTTCTTTTTTAAATAACTAATAATTTTATTTTAGGACAAAAATTTACCATACTAAATTTTTTCATTTATTAAAACTATTTTTATAGTCATAACCTTTAAAATATTTCTCTCTCCTACTTCCTGGGTTTTCTTTAACCTTGTTTTGTGAATAACTTTCCAGGTCTATAATTTAAATCAACCTTTAGATAATTTCTGAATTAGACAAAATTATTCTTTTTTTAATAAGAACATATTTTTGGTACACTTTATATACAGAATTACATATTAACTAGAATCTTTATTCTTAGTAACCTTAAATTTTAGTGAAAACCAAGGAAGCAAGAAATTTTGAATTGTCTGCCAGACATTCATACTTTATGGATGAGAACCACTCCACAATTTTTAGAAACATTTTTTTTTAATATCATAACCCTTTCTTAGTTGGAAATAATGGTTATTTAAGATAATTTTAAGATTTCAATTATACAAAAGTTTACCCATAAGCATTTGTCTCATTTATATTAATTTATTTTTTTTAACAGTTTAACTAGATTACTTATGAAAACTGAGATATTAGACAAAGATAGTCATCATTTAAAATTATTCCTCTGTTAACCATTTTTATAGCCTCTGAATATCAGGTGTTTACCTAAGTAGAAACTTAGAGTAAACATATGGATACTTTTGCCAATAACTCAGAAGGTTTAGCTGTTTTCATTAAACCAACAACATCAAATTGGCCCTATTTATCAAAAATATATACAAATAAAGATTATTTTGTTTTTGGCTGGGTTTATAGCTTTGTATGCTTCATGCCAAACCCTGACACCATAATACATTTAGCAAAGACAAATATAAAACCATTTAGCCAATAAACCCAGACACAAATGTATGCTGATAATTTTGAAGATATTTAATTTTAATTTTATTTATAATTTTAAAGCCAGTTTTTAAATTAAAGATTTATTTAAATCACATTAACTTGAAAGATATTTGGAGTTATGTACTTAATTTATGAGTGTTTTATTATTTATAAGCCAAGTTGGTATCGTGTAGACTTAATATATAACACAATATATGTTTATATAAGTAAATTTATCTAAACACACACACATATAAACAAGGATTTTACAGCTTTTACTTCGGAATTCTAGCCATGAGATGGTAATACAAACTCACCAGTTTATAAAAGATGGCTGAATCTGAATTATTTTGGACAAAATTGGGAGCCTGTCCACATGGCTAAACTTTGTGTGCCTTGGTAGGTAGTCCAATGAAGGCTGTGAACCAAAGAAGTTTTTACGGGAAAAAAACATTTTTATCCTTTCCCCTCCACTCCCAGTTTTAAATGAGTTTTAATGTTTACATTTCAGCTAGTACTGGCAGAACTGTATAAGAAAAACAAAATCCCCAAGTAACTTTGAGTTAGTAGTACCACGAACAGAGAGTTTTATCTCAAAACCAGTAGCTTAATAATAGCAGATTAGAAGTAGGCAGAAAAGAAAATAAAGAGAAAGATTCACAAAGAGTTTTTAATCCTATAGCTGCAAATCAACCTTTTGAGTTCTGGATTTTCCTCACTGTCATTTGCCCATCAGTTTAAAATGTGCACAATAGCAGGCCATGTATGTAACCAGCTGGAGTCCTAGAAAACATGGCGTGCCTTTTAACTTTCCCAGAGTTTTTGCAGTTTTTCTGCCCTTAGTGGATAAATTACTCATTGTACTGATCTAAAGAGGACACCTCTTGTTTTCCCAATTCTCAAGATGCAGCCTAATGGGGCTGCCTGGAGGAACCTAACCAACATTTCCCATTCTGGCTGAGAGGACTCACACGACAAAAACACAGATGCTAGTCACTCTGCTCAGTGCCCAGATCTGACGTGGAAAGATTCAACCTTGCCTCTGCGGGCCCCGGCACCTTTGATCCAGGGATCAAAGTGGAAAGGAATGACCTGTGCCCAGGAGTTCAGCAGGTGGTCTCTGGGCAAGGTGGAAAAGTGGACGGCCACCCTAAGTGAGGCCTGCTGAGCTTTCACTAGCAATTCCTTTAGGGATATTTTTCACAAATATAAACGTACATAACAAGACAAAGACAAACAAAAGGCCTTCCAAAATAAAGTTTTAAATTTTAAAAATTAAGAGTATTTCTCCCAAGCAGTGCCCTTTATTTTTTTTCCAGTATAGGAGAATCCTCTCAAACAAGACCCTTCCTATTATTAGGGATGGTCAACAAGACCTCCAAAGAGGCTGCAAGACTCCCAAAGAAGACACAAACCCCCGAAGAGGCCACGAGACCTCTGAAGAGGCCAAAAAATCAGGAGAAAGGAAAAAGGGTGCCAGTTGCATAGAGAAAATTTACCAAAGATGTCTTCAAAACGAGTAATTGTTACTTTGCTGAAGGCAATTTATGCACCAGGATTGACACTGCCCCATCAACAGACAAGGCACAGGAGACAGCACCCTAGTTCAACGAAACTGAGCAGCCACTTGGACTCGACTCCAGGTCCGTCCCAATGACATGGTAGCACCGAGCCATGTGCAAATGCCCACAAGGGACTCCTGGCTAGATCACCATAATGTGTTATAGGACCAACAGGCTTGTATGTCTGCTGTGTAGTAATATACTAGTTACACAGACAGCAGGAATGTCGCAGAGAAAGAGTTTAATTATCACAGGGCGCTGAGCGACGAGATGGGAAGAGATTCGCAAGTACATGTCTCTGAAGAGTTTGGGGCTGGGGCTTTTTTTTTTTTTTCTTTTTGAGACAGTCTCGCTCCGTAGCCCAGGCTGGAGCGCAGTGGCGCGATCTTGGCTCACTGCAACCTCTGCCTCCCAGGTTCAAGCGAATCTCCTGCCTCAGCCTCCCAAGTGTCTAGGAATACAGGCGCCCACCACCACGCCCAGCTAATTTTTATATTTTTAGTAGAGACGGGTTTTCACCATATTGGCCAGGCTGGTCTTGAACTCTTGATCTTGTGATCCGCCCGCCTCGGCCTCCCAAAGTCCTGGGATTACAGGTGTGAGCCACAGCGCCCAGCTGGGGTTGGGGCTTTTAAGGGGATTATGGAGGATGAAGGACTAGAGAATTGGGGTCATTAATTGGTTGGGGTAAGAGGCATGAAACCTTCATGATGTGGAAAGTGCATTCTTTGGTGAGTCAGCTTCTTGTGGGATCCTTCAGACCAGCTGATGTCAGTAGAGTTTTTTAGATCTGCTGGCATTAGTAGAGTCTTTCAGACCAGGTGAGTCAGTAATTTTATTAGAATGCAGGACTTGAATATCTCAAAGGGAAAACTTAACATTTTATAATGGTTAAGTTGTTATCTATAGAGAGTTAAGGGGAATTATAATCTTGTAACAGGGTCTACATTGTTTTGAGGCTATAGACATTACGTAATTATCAGAAAGCAGGTCAGAGAACAAGCTGACTTAATGATTAATGTTGAATGTGTTGCAAGCTTCTATTTTTTTTATTTTTGTTAAAATTTAAAAAAAAAAACCCTCCATGTTTTTCTGATTTAATGTTATAAAGTTTACAGGGGCAGTTTTCCCATTGTGGAGGCTTCACAGCAGGGCATGAGAGCCACGTTTTCCTGACATCTGTCCCCAGTCCCATTTTTTTCAACTTGTAGCCAACTATTTTTGTTGTTGTTGTTGTTGTGTTGTTCCTTTGCTATTTCCTGATTTAAAACTCCAGCTTTTAAGTTGCTGTTTCCTGCCTGATAGAGACTTTTGCTACTTTACAGAGTAAAGGTAACTACAGAGAGGGAAACCCCCTTTCCCCCACAAGAAAGAGTCACCTCTTCTAGCTCAGATGCCCTCGGCTCCAGGTGCATGTCCAGGCTCACACTGACGGCTGAGTGTTCGAGTATTCCCCTGGGAGGCGCGGCACTTTCTGAAAGCTCTCTAGTTATATTCTTATGCTATTGATTATTTTAAACGGTGAAACAAAATATAGAATTAAGTCCACTCAGAATAAAGGGAAGGTCTCCAGACTTCTTACTACCCCAGGTGCCCCACATGCTTCTGTTCATACTTGAGGCAATACTTCAGAGGTTGGTTATATATCCCTGTCTTCTTCTTATTCAAGAGACGGTTTAAAGGATAGAAAGCACAGGGGAAAGGTTCTTGAGTCCAGAGTTTCCTGCCAAGCAACAGGAGAAACGGGGAACAGACTTAGGATGAGTTTCTGGGTGACTCTGTCACCCAAAATTCTCTAGTTGCCACCAATGGGAGACGAAGAGCTTAGAGGCGTTACTTCAGGTACAAGTGAAGCTGGCTACAGCCACATGCCTTAGGCTTACTGGATTTCCACCTAGAATATATGCCTCTCCCAGCAATCCACATGGCTGTTCTATGTCATATGTCATTTATGCTCTGCTCACATGTAAACTACTCAAAACAGCCTTCTCTGGTCCTCCTATCCAAAATACCACATTCCTATTCTATTCTCAACCTAAGCACCCTACTTTATTTTTCTTCACAGCACGTATTAACTCTTCGTATGTTTTCAAATATGTTTATGGCCTATCTGCCCTCTGTAGAAGGTAAGCTCCATGGAAACAGAGTGTTTATGTCTTTTTTCTGTCCCTCCCGATGCCAGGGTACATACAGAGCCTAGAAAAACACTTTGACACTTGGTAGGTTCTTATATTTGTTAAATATTTAAAAATGCAACAGCCTATCTTCATACTTCCACATTTTAATTGATTTGAATTATTCTTTCAATCTATGTAGCCTCCTATCTATTATATGGTCAATAATTCTTCAAGCAGAAATTTAATACAAACTCCTGACCCTCATACTAGCCAACAAAATGAATAATTCTCTCCATTCTCTGAATCAAAGCCTCTCTTTGCAGAACACATTATGACTTCTAATATTTTGTACTATTTCTAGAGCTCTAGAAATAATTAAAAGCTCATTTCAATGAAAGCTTAAGGGATATTTAATATCACATATTCATTAATGATGTGAATTTTTGAATGAACTACATACATGTTCAGGTCTTTAGTATATGTTATTTCAATATTTTACTTTGGAATGTATTTGTATTTAGATCTGTGAAATGTTCATATAGCGAACTGCTGTCATATATTAACGCCTGTTCATGCATGTGTGTATGTATGTATAAATATTTATTTTTTCTATGTCAGCCATAGAAACACGACTTTGTTCACTATTTTTTTTTTAGCTACAATTTTTAAGCTTCTAAATTTTGATGTGATTGTCTTTTTCCTTTCATCCTTCAAACTTTAAGCTATCCAATCAGCTTCCAAACGGTTGTTTTTTCTCCTACCAAAGAGTGATTCTAGCTGAAAGCTAGTTCAACACCAAAACCAAGAATGATCTCTGTACATGCTTCATGGACCACATTTTCTTTTTATGATCCATAAATCGTCACTCCAAAAACAACTCCCTCCCTTCTACTAGCAGTCCTAAAACCTCAGGCAGTAGAATCCAGAAATTTGTCCTGATTAAACTTCCCAGGACTTGCTCATGTGGATTATCAAACACATTCCCCACTCTAACCAAGACTTTTTCTTGAAAGTATTCATTGTCATTGTATTACCATTCCCAGACTTCCTTGTAATGCAAAAGAATATGTGTGAATCACATATTTTTCTCTTCTTTCCAAAAAAACAAATAAATAAATCCAGCCATTTGAAATGTATTTTGTCATTACAAAAGAAAGATAATACTTTGGAGACCTTGAAAATGACAATGGGGCCAGGTGCGGCGGTTCACACTTGTAATCCCAGCACTTTGGGAGACTAAGACAGGCGGATCACTTGAGGCCAAGAGTTTGAGACCAGCCTGGCCAACATGGTGAAACCCCGTCTCTACTAAAAATACAAAAATTAGCCGGGTGTGGTGGCACGTGTCTGTAGTCCTAGCTGCTCGAGAGGCTGAGGCAGGAGAATCGCTTGAACACAGGAGATGGAGGCTGCAGTGAGCCAAGACTGCACCACTGCGCTATAGCCTGGATGTCAGAGCAAGACTCTGTCTCAGAAAAAAAAAAGAAGAAAGAAGAAAGAAGAAAAAGAAAGAAAGAAAGAAAGAAAGAAAGAAAGAAAGAAAGAAAGAAAGAAAGAAAGAAAGAAAGAAAGAAAGGAAGGAAGGAAAGAAAGAAAGAAGGGAGGAGGGGAGGGAGGGAGGCAGGCAGGAAGGAAGGAAAAGAAAAGAAAAGAGAAGAGCAAAGAAAAGAAAAGGACAATGGAATGAAAAGGGTGCATATACCAAGAGGAATTCATTCAAATGAGGCTCAGCACTGAACCCTCAGTCTAAGGAAAGAGGCTGCTCCTGTCTTATTGGAAATGAGCCCCTGTTTTTGTTGTTGGTGTTGCTTTGTTTTCAGGCTGACTGTGGTTTCTTTTGTTTCATTTAATCTGGTAGTTATGTGTGGTCCTTTCTAGACAAGGAAAAAATGCGAAATAAGTGGTGTTCCCTTTTTTGGCATGGGGTTCTTTTTCCCCAGAGTCCTTCTTGTTCCAGGTAAGTACTGCCCTGGAACAAAGTATCTACTAAGTTAATTTATAATAAGACATGAATGGTGTATTAGTTATTATTGCTGTTATACCATATTCCCACAAATTTAGTGGCTGAACACAACATAAATGTATTCACTTACAATTCTGAAGGTCACAATGGGGTCACAGTTCTGAAGGACCCCATTTTGGGACTTACAATTCTGAAGGACCCAATATGGGACTCACTGGGCTCAAATCAAGCTGTTGTCAGGACCGTGTTCCTTCTAACGGCACTAGGAGGGCATTATTCTGCCTTCCGAAAGTAGTAATGCATCATTCACTCTCCTACGCTCCCCAGAAGGGATAGGTATTGTACTTCAAAGCACAAGCCTATGAAACTGATTTCTAAAAAACTTGCAGAAGGAATACAAGCTGAGACGAAAATACCAGCACCTAGAGCAGAGCATGCTTTTTTTTTTTTTTTTTTTTTTTTTTTTTTTGAGATGGAGTCTCGCTCTTGTCGCCCAGGCTGGAGTGCAGTGGCGCCATCTCGGCTCACTGCAAGCTCCACCTCCCGGGTTCACGCCATTCTCCTGCTTCAGCCTCCCGAGTAGCTGGGACTGCAGGCGCCCGCCACCACGCCCGGCTAAGTGTTTTTTTGTTGTTGTTTTTTTTTTTTTAGTAGAGACAGGGTTTCACCATGTTAGCTAAGATGGTCTCGATCTCCTGAGCTAGCTGTCTGCCCGCCTCAGCCTCCCAGGGCTTTTAAGAGCTGAGGCATCACCAAGGTTCTCCATAACACGGGGTGTAGAGGAAACTAAAATATGGATGTTAGTAATTGTGAAAAGATGGACACTGAATACCAAAAACGTTTGAAAATATCTTCAAATTTTTATTTTGTTTATATTTTCTCTTTTACATATGCATAAGAGAGATACATATTTTAAAATCCATGTCTAAAACCTCCGAGACCTCTGTCAATAAATGCACGACATGATTTTAATGACGAAAAGGCATTGAGTTCTGTAAACCTAAAATGGTTGTTAAAGTCTCTTTTTTTAAAAAAAAAAAAAGAAGTATTGGTAATAGTAGAATTGAAAAAGTGCTTCTTTCTTAACGATACATAAAATAATGTTCTTAAAATTGATGATGACTGAGATTCGATGAAATAGGGTATTTCATGCTCAATTTTGAGTTATTTTGCTACTAAAATTAATAAACAATTTCTCAAACAAGAGATAGTAATTTTTAAAGTTTTATTTTAGGTTAATGTTTTCAATGAAACAAAAACTTCTGACTCCTTACCTACTTTTGCACCAAATGTAAAACCAAACTTTTTTTTTTTTTTCTTAGACGCAATCTCGCTCTGTCACCCAGGCTAGAGTGCAATGGCACAATCTCAGCTCACTGCAACTTCTGCCTCCCAAGATCAAGCGATTCTCCTGCCTCAGCCTTCTGAGTAGCTGGGATTACAGGTCCACACCACCATGCCCAGCTAATTTTTGTGTTTTTAGTAGAGACAGGGTTTCACCATGTTGCCCAGGCCTGTCTCAAACTCCTGGGCTCAAGCAACCCTCCTGTCTCAGCCTCTCAAAGTGTGAAGATTTCAGGCCAAACTATCTTAATAAAAGAAAAGCTACCTGAAGTTAACAAACCATTCTGTGATGAGCGCACTTTTGTGTTTGATGTATGTCCATACTATGAAATCACATCACGTATTTATGTTTAACATATCTGATGTTACCCTAGGTTTAGTTTTGAGAATTTACCTGGATTACTGAAAGGAAATGTATCTTAACATGATTCAATTGCCTTTCAATGTAATTCAGGTATAAAGGAAGGTTATCTTTGATAATCACCAATTTTCTAAATATAAAATTTGTTCCTCACAGATTTAAATGTATGATGTTATTTATGTGATCATTTAGTAGAAATATACTCATTTCCATCAGGATAGGATTTGATTTGCAATTTATAGTGGCTTCTAATTAGGTAATATTGACATAATTCTGCATCAAAATCTAATAGAATATAGTGTGACTTGTGTGATAATACAGAAAGAGGAAAATCTGCAAGTCTGAGGTTGTCCTTGGCTATCTGTTTTGCAGTGTCACCAGAATATCTGGTTTGTTGCTGTGTGTTTCACTGTTACTCAACATGTGGCTTGGGTGACTGCTGGCTGCTCTGCTCATCAGGGACGCTTCCTTTTCAAATAGCCTTTGGGAAACTGACAAGTGATAACATGTGCTTTTTTTTTTTTTTTTTTTTTTTTTGAGACGGAGTCTCACTTTGTCGCCCAGGCTGGAGGGCAGTGGCGCCATCTCGGCTCACTGCAAGCTCCACCTCCTGGGTTCACACCATTCTCCTGCCTCAGCCTCCTGAGTAGCTGGGACTACAGGCACCCACCACCACGCCCGGCTGATGTTTTGTATTTTTAGTAGAGACACGGTTTCACTGTGTTAGCCAGGATGGTCTCGATCTCCTGACCTTGTGATCCACCCACCTCGGCCTCCCAAAGTGCTGGGATTACAGGCATCAGTCACTGCGCCCGGCCCATATGCTTATATTTATCTTTAGGTCAATTAATTTAATGATTTTTATTTGTAAAAACCTCTTTTCATGTTCATTCTTTCAGTGAATATTTATTGAGTATTCACAGCAAGCCATGCACACTTATGTTAAGATGCCATAACAAAGGCAGCTAAATACATCCATATTAGGGTTGAAGTTCTCAAATCTTAGAGAAAAATGCTAATTTAGTTATGAAGACATGCTGTGACCAATATATTTAACATATGAATAAAATTTAGGTAAATAAAATGAAATTCTCATCTAACTCAAAATATCTATCCAATAATTTCCTAGATTGGCTAAAATGTTCATCTTAGTCTCATTCTTTTTTTCTTAGGCAAGGTTTTCTAACCAGTAGGTCATGAAACACTGTTGCCTACAAATCCTGGAGAATTCTTCACTAGATCTGCACTACAAGAAATACTAAGGAGAATATTTCAGACTGATGAAAATTCTAGCTGAAGAGCTGCAGGGAGAAATAAAGATAGAAAAAATAAATAAGTAAACAAATATATACATTATGATTTAACATTGACGTTTTAAAAATAACAATTACAATAATATCTAATGGAGATAACAATGTGTCATATAGTAAAATTTTTACTATATGACAATAATAGTAAAAAAGAGAGAAGGGTGAAATCTGGATTTAATGAGTTTTAAGATTTTTGGATGTTTAGAAGTGGTACAAGGACTAAGTTAAGCTATGCTATGTTAGGTCAAGGGTAAATATTGAATCACTGTAGTAACCACCAATTAAAATAAAATACCTTATATTTTATTTTAACGTAAATTGTTAAAGTATATTATAAATATACTTTGTTCTTTCACTATACAAGAAAGCTGTGTAGTTATGTTACTATAAGACAAAATAGATTTCAAGTGAAGAATTATTACTAGACATAAAGAGGAACATTTTATAATTAAAAAGGTCAGTTCAACAATAATACAGAAATCCCAAATTTTTATGCACATAATAACGTAGCTTCGAAGTAAAGAAAGATAAAAAACAAATTCACAAGCACGTATACATATATATATTTATGCATCTATGTACACATTTATGGAAATAGCTATAACTATATTGATGTGCGAAAAAGCTAGTAGAGGGGAGTAGAGGAATCATAAAAACATCATCCAAAAGAAAATAAGAAAGGAACCAAATCCCAAGGGTACACCAAACAAATAACAGTTCGTATTATTAATGGAGAGATACAGATATAATTCAAAAGCTAATAGAATAAAAAATGAAATAAGATAATCCAAAAGACAAGAAGAATGGAAGAAAGAGGAACAAAGAGCAGAATGGTGAAATAAAATAAAATAGCAAGTGGGTGGCCATAAACACAACTATTAAAAATTACATTAAATGTAAACAGGCTAATCAAAAGCAAATTAAAAGTTAACATTGTCAGACTGAAATGAAAGACAAAATTCAGCTGTATGTTGTTTATAAGTAGCATATACAGATGGACAAAGAAAGTTTGAAAATAAATGAATGGAAAAATAAATACCTTGCAAACACAAACCAAAAGAAAGCTATATGAATAATTGAGGAATAGGCTAGGATTTTGCAGAGTTGTGTTTAAGTCAAACAAGTGTAGCTATGTTACTATAAGACAAAGTAGATTTCAAGTGAAGAATTATTATTAGACATAAGGAAGAACATTTTACAATTAAAAGGGTCAGTTCAACAATAATATAGAAATCCTAAATGTATATGCACATAATAACATAGCTTCTAAGTAAAGGAAGAAATAAACAAATTCACAAACGTAGTTGGAGATTTTAACACATGTCTCTAAGTCCCTACCAGAACAAGTAGGCAAAATCAGTATGGATGTGAAAGACTAGAAGATGATTAATCAAGTTGGCCTAATATAGGAAACACTCTACCTGACTGAAGAGTACATATTCTTTTCCATTGCAAATCTGTAATAGCATTTACCAAAATAGGCCATCTTCTGGATGACAAAGCAAGTCACAACAAATTTCAAAAGACTTAAATTGGCCGGGCGTGATGGCTCACGCCTGTAATCCCAGCACTTCGGAAGGCCAAGGTGGGCGGATCACAAGGTCAGGAGTTTGAGACCAGCCTGACCAACATGGTGAAACCCCATCTCTACTAAAAATTAAAAAAAAAAAAAATTAGCCGGGTGTGGTGGCGCATGCCTTTCATCCCAGCTACTCAGAAGGCTGAGGCAGGAGAATCGCTTGAACCTGGGAGGCGGAGGTTGCAGTGAGCCAAGATTGCACACTGCCCTCCAGCCCAGGCGACAGAGCAAGACTCCGTCTCAAAAAAAAAAAAGACTTAAATCAAATTGACTGAGTTCTCTGACCACAGTCTTCGTTAAACTGGGAATTAGTAACACAAAGAAAAATAGAAAATTCCTAATGTTTGAAAATGAAGCAACATACTTCTCCATGACCCATGGGTCAAAGACAAGAACATAGTAAAATTTTTAAAATATTTTGAACTGAATGGTAATAACAATAAAATATACTAATACTTGTGGAATGTAGCTTAGAGGAAAAGTTACAGCGTCAAATGCTTATATTAGAAAAGAAGAAACGTTGAAAATCACTTAACTATGCTTTTATCACAAGAAGCTAGAAAAAGAATAGCAAATTAAACAAAAGAAAGTAGAAGTAACTGGATAATAAAGAAAAGACATCAATTAAAAGAAAGCAAATGTACTATATGCAAATCAACAGCTAAAAGCTGGTACTTTGAAAAACTAATAAGATGATGAAAAAAAAAAAAAAAACCCTGACACATAAAAAAAGATTAAGCATGGGCAGGGATGACAATAGAGATCAGAGAAGACTGGAACATGAAGCTGCCCAGAGAGTGAGCATAAATAGACAACAGCACGTAGTTAAGCAGCTCAACAGTGACTTGTCCTGCATTTTATTGATTCTCTTGGCCTTTCCCTCATGCAAACGATGGCTGCCACATCTGCAGACTTTACTTCTACTGACACTATTCGAGGTTCCACTCCTGTGTCAGCAACTTGTTCCTGCCACCCTGGATGCTTCCAAAAGCCAGACACCTATGCATCAGCTTTTGGCAGCAAAATGCAGAGCCTCCTTGCTTAAGTAGCCTGCTTCTGATTTGAAATCCTCTGAACATGGGTCTGATTGGTGGAACTTACACTCCAGCTGCACTCCTGTATTCTTGAGTTCTGTTTCACTTAAGTTACTCTGCTAGCAGCTAATCACCTCTTGCCAGTTAATAACTCATCATATTAAATTATCCCTATTCCCAAATTACTGGTGGTTTTGATTCCTGGCTAAATCCTAACTGATACACTTTCTTATCAGGATTAGCAGATGTCTGATTTTTGAACTGGACAGTCTGGGATGTGACATTTCTGTTGGATCTAAATGAGACAGAACTATAAATGCTATTTTATAAATTTACATAAATTTTTAATTAAAATAGTGAGTCACATGGATAGAAGTTCTGCAACTGAATGTAAAATATGTCATATATTTCACAAGCCATAATTTTTATAGTTTGGGCTACACATTTTTATCAAATGTATTATACATATTTTGAACTCATCTTGTAATTCTGTTTCTTACCTATGCTTCCAAAACACTCTTTCTCCTTTATTGCACTCTATTCTCTTTCTCCTGATAAGTAGCATAGCATATTAAACTCCAGGATTTCAAATCACATTGCCTCAAATAAATCCTTTCTCTGTAGCAGTTTGAACTTTTCAAATATAGTACTTTCCAGGACAAAACCAGCCATAAAGAAAATATATATAATTGTGGTATATCTGTACAATAGACTACTACCCAGCAATAAAAGGATAGGCCATATATCCTATCCTGATAAATACAACAAAATTGATGAATATCAAAACTATCATGTCAGACCTTTCACAAAGGAAAATATACAAAAGGTCAGTAACAGGGACACAGTGCTCAACATGATTAGTCATTAGGGAAACTGTGGAGGCTAAAGCAACTCCATCTTGGATGCTAATCTGCCATGTTGGCTTCTGATTAACCCCTGTTCCTGGAAGGCCTCCGAGATTTCTAGTTTACCTATTGTTCCTTGTGTAAGTGCACATACTTACCCATACTTAATGTAAATCCTACCCTTATGTCAAAACAACCTTGATATTATCATACTTCAGTTGTCCTGCACATCACTTCTGAATCACATATACTCTTTCCCTATGGTATGTAAGCCCTGGGTCTTGGGTGTTGATATGGTTTGGCTGTGTCCCCATCCAAATCTTATCTTGAATTTTAGCTTCCATAATTCCCATGTGTCATGGGAGGGACCCAGTGGGAGGTAATTGAATCATGGGGGAAGGTTTTTCCCATCCTGTTCTTGTGATAGTGAATAAGTCTCATGAGATCCGGTGGTTTTATAAAAGGCAGTTCCTCTGCACATGTTCTTTTGCCTGCCGCCATGTAAGATGTGACTTTGTTCTTCCTTTGCCTTCCAGGATGATTGTGAGGCCTCCCCAACCATGTGGAACTGTGAGCCCATTAAACCTCTTTACTTTGTAAATTACCCAGTCTAGGGTATGTCCGTACAGCAGCATGAGAATGGAATAATGCAAGGGAAATGGCACAGGCATCCACCATCTTGTCTCACCACCAACCGAGACACAGACATGATTTCTATTCATAAGTGCCTATTAAATGTTCTTTCTGAGAACTGGATTTGTCAGCTTCTTACTTCAGCCTCTCAACTTCCTCAAACTGGGGGTAGATTTGCATATATCTGCTCACCATGGAACAGAAACAAAAAATCATAATAAGTGACCAATAAACAAATTGGAATGGCTGAAAAATTAAATACTAACTACACCAACATCAGTGAGTTTGGGAAATGAGAAGAAATCTCGTGTATTGGTTGTGAAAGGGTAAAATGATTCCATCACTTTGGCAGTTTCCTATAAAAGTAAACATATACTTGCCCTACAATCCAACAATTCCAGCTCTCAGTATTTACCTGAGAGAAATAAAACATGTTTACAAAGAGAGTTTTGTACCAGAATATTCATAACTGACTTATTTATAACAGCTCCCATTAAGAAACAGCTCAAACATCCATCAAGAGGAGAACAGCCAATCATATAAATGTGGAACATTTGTATGATAGCACACTACTCAGCAATTAAGGACAAATACTGATAAATGCAATAAAATCAACAAATCTCAAAAGCACCAGGTTATACAGAAAAAGACACAAAAGAGCACATAAATTATGATTCTCCTCTCACCATTGAATTGTCTTCATATCTTTGTCAAGAAATGGTTGGTGTATAAGTAGATCTATTTCTGGACTCTATTCTGTTACTTTGATCTATATGTATATTTTTATGTCAATACCACACTGTTTTGATTGCTACAGTTTTCTAGCAAGTCTTAGTTACTAGAAAACAAGTGATGGCGATCTTTCAACCATGTTCTTTAAGAACATTTTGGCTATTCTACGTTTTTCAGCAATGCATTTTTAGTACTCTAAGCTTTGGTCACCTTTTAATTAAACTCAACATTTTAATTACTATTTTTTTTGTTTTGTTTAAGAGATGAGGTCTCACTCCATTATCCAGGGTAGAGTGCAGTGGTGCAATCACAGCTCACTGCAGCCTTGACCCCCTGGGCTCAAGAAATCCTCCTGCCTTAGCCTCCTGAGTAGCTAGGAATAAAGGCTGTGCCACCATGCCAGGTTAAGTTGGGGTTTTTTAGAGACAGAGTCTTACTGTGTTGCCCAGGCTGGTCTTGAATTCCTGGACTCAAGCAGCCCTCCCGTCTTGGCCTCCCAAAGTGCTGGGATTACAGGCATGAGCCATAGCACCTGGCCCAGGCTAAGTTTTTATTTTTTATTTTTTGTAGAGACAGTCTTGCCATCTTACTCAGGCTGGTTTAGAAGTACAGGCCTCAAGCAATCCTCCCTCCTCAGCCTCCTGGTTAGCTGGAATTACAGGCATGAGCTACCATGTCCAGCTTATAATTTACTGTTTTATAATAAATAAATAAATAAATCCTCAAATTTTAAATTACCTCATTAAGATAAATGTTGATTCCCATCCCTCTTTCTTTTCCTGTTTCCTTTCTGTATTAGTTCCTTTTTCATGCTGCTAATAAAGATATACCCAAGACTGGGAAATTTATAAAGGAAAGAGGTTTAATTAACTCACACTTCAGCATGGCGGATGGGAGGGGGAACCTCAGGAAACTTACAGTCACGGTGGAAGGAAAAGCAAATACGTCCTTCTTCACAAGGCAGCAGGAAGGAGAAGTGCTGAGCAAAAGGGGGAAAAGCCCTTTATAAAACCATCAGATCTCATAAGAACCCACTAAGTGTCATGAGAACAGCAGCAGGGGGTAACTGCTCTGGTGACTCAATTACCTCCCACCAGGTCATTCCCAGAACATGTGGGGATTATGGGAACTACAATTCAAAATGAGATTTGGGTGGGGACACAGCCGTATTATATCATTCTGCCCCTGGCCTCTCCCAAATCTCATGTCCTCACATTTCAAAACATAATCATGCACTTCCAACAGTCCCCCTAAAGTCTTAACTTATTCCGGCATTAACTCAAAAGTCCAAGTACAAAGTCTCATCTGAGACAAGGCAAGTCCCTTTCTTGGAGCCTGTAAAATCAAAAGCAATCTACTTGGATCTACTTCCTAGATACAGTGGGGCTACAGGCATAGGGTAAATACACCCATCCAAGTGGGAGAAATTGGCAAAAATGAGGGGGCTACAGGCCCCAAGCCAGTCCAAAATCCAATAGGTCCTGTAAAATCAAAAGCAATCTACTTGAATCTACTTCCTAGATACAGTGAGGGTACAAGTATGGGGTAAATACACCCAATCTGAGTGGGAGAAATTGGCCAAAATGAGGGGGCTACAGGCCCCATGCCAGTCTAAAATCCAATAGGGTAATCATTAAAACTTAAAGTTCCAAAATTGTCTCCTTTGACTCCAAGTCTCACATCCAGGTCATGCTGATGCAAGAGGTGGATTCCCATGGTCTTGGGCCACTCCACCCCTGTGGCTTTGCCAGGTAGAGCCCCACTCCTGGCTGTTTTCATGGGTTGACATTGAATCTGCGTTTTTTTCCATCTACCATTCTGGCATCTGGAGGATGGTGGCCCTCTTCTCACAGCTCCACAAGGCAGTGCCCCAGTGGGGACTCTGTGTGGGGGCTCCCACTGCACATTTCCTTTCTGCACTGCCCTAGCAGAGGTTATCCATGAGGGCTCCACCCCTGCCGCACACCTCTGCCTGGACATCCAGGCATTTATATACATCCTCTGAAGTCTAGGCAACGATTCCCAAACCTCAGTTCTTGACTTCTGTGCACCGAAAGGCCTAACAATATGTGTAAGCCACCAAGGCTTGGGGCTTGCACCCTCTGAAGGAATGGCCTGAGCTGTAAATTGGACCCCCTGTAGCCATAGCTGGGATGCAGGGCATCAAGTCCCTAGACTGTACAAAGCAGCAAGGCCCTGGGCCCAGACCACAAAACCATTTTTTTCTCATAGGCCTCTGGGCCTGTGATGGGAGGGGCTGCCGTGAAGACCTCTGACATGGCCTGAAGACATTTTTCCCATTGTCTTGAGCAATAACATTCAGCTCCTTGTTATTTATGCAAATTTCTACAGCTGGCTTGAATGTCAATTCAGAAAAAGGAGTTTTCTTTACTATCACATTGTCAGGCTGCAAATTTTCCAAACTTTTATGCCCTGCTTTCCTTTTAAACATAAGTTCCAATTCCAAACCATATATTGCTGAATGAATAAAACAATGCTTTTAAGAGCACCCAAGACACTTCTTGAATGCTTTGCTGCTTGGAAATTTCTCCTGCCAGATACCCTAAATCATCTTTCTCAAGTTCAAAGTTCCACAAATCTCTAGGGCAGGGGCAAAATGCCACCAGTGTCTTTGCTAAAGCATAGCAAAAGTCACCTTTACTCCAGTTCCCGATAAGTTCCTCATCTCCATCTGAGACCACCTCAGCCTGACTTCATTGTCAATATCACTATCAGCATTTTGGCCAAAACCATTCAACAGGTCTCTAGGAAATTCCAAACTTTCCCACACTTTCCTGTCTTCTTCTGAGCCTCCAAACTGTTTCAACTTCTGCCTGTTAGCTAGTTCCAAAGTCACTTCCGCATTTTCAGGTATCTTAATAGCTATACCCCACTCTACTGGTACCAATTTACTTCCCTTTCTGAAAACCTAAGACTTTACAAAAGACAAAATAGCCTTTCTTTTTGTGGATTTCACTGTGTTCTATTTACGTCCTAGAGAAGAAGGAAAAACAAGTAAAATATACAGTAGAGAGAATTTCACTATAAATTTTCACTATTTTCCCACTAGTCATTTAAAAAACTTTATGACTACAGGATCCCATAATTCAGATCAACAGTTTCTTATTTGGCCAACTTTGTAACCAGATTTACAACAGGCTCTCACACCACTTTGCCTTCTGAAATGTGCTAGCTAACTCCAAATGCCATGAGGAAATTAGGGTCCCAGAGCTGGCTGAACACCAAGCTCACCTAGAGATTGTTTCACACATCTGTCAGGCTTTACTTCAGACCTCTATATCAGTATATTTAAGCACCTTGAGAAATCGCTGTGGAGCCAGTTTGAGGAACCAGAGCCCGGAATTGCCTGGCCTTAAACACTCAGTTCATGCAACATTGAGGAGAAGCTGGCAGTGCCCAGTAGAGCACACCAACAAGTCCCATAAAGGAAAGAAAGGCTTTGAAGATCCTTACTCCTGAATGGTGTCCCACCTGCCCTTAAGTTAGCTTTGAAAATAGGGATGCAATGTGCCGAATCGACCTCACCCCAGAGCAGCTTTCTGAAGCTGGCATAAATATCAGAAAAAGGGCTGCTTTCCTGCCCTGCCACTTCCCCTGGCTCCCCAACAGCTCCTCTGTCACTCTTTCCATCTGCAGACACCTCAGGAGGCAATCAGCACAACAGCCTTGCCCTGTCTTTCAATCCTCCTTGGATTTGCTCCTGTTATTCCTCCTCCCTGAAATCTCTACCTCCCCACTCCATCACCACCTGTCAGATCATTTCCTTGAATACCTGATTTAAATGGTATTTCCTCACTAAGCCATTGTGACTGTCTAGGTCTGGATTTTCCAGCCGTGTTCGGACTCCATGCATTCGGTTCCACTGTCACACTTTGAGGAAAGCCCATGTGCGCTGAAGTTTTGGTTTTCACACTGTTTGCTGCTCTCAGCGTCTTCACCTGGAGTTCATAATTCCCTCCTCCATGCACTCTGGCACTTTGGCTATGTCTCTGTGTTGGTGATAATTCCGGGCCTCTGTTCCAGCATCTGGGTGGCCATCTGGCTCTGAAGCTGTCTTGAAGACAGGTATTGATTTTTATTCCCTGCACGTTCTCCTGGCATTCACCCCAGAGAAGAGGAGTGTGATATTATTCCACAAATAACTTCAACCTCCAAAACTGCTAGTGCCCTCACTGTTTCACTTTACATTCAGCCATGTGGAGAAATCTAAGTAGGAATTGTTTTTATAGTGGTCCACTCTAATGTTAGTACTTGCTGTGGGTTGAATTGCATCCCCACCATTCATTTGCGGAAGTCCTAACCCCCAGTACTTCAGAAAGTGACCTTATTTGGAGATAGGGTTGATGCAGATGCAGACGTAATTGAGTTAGGTGAGGATGTGATCATAATGGGGTAGAGAGAGCAGGGTGGGCTCTTAATCCAATATAAGTTGTGTCTTTACAAAAGAAGAAATTTGGACACAGAGACACAAAATGGGAGAACTCCATGTGGACAGGAAGGCAGAGATTCAGGTGATGCATCTACAAGCCCAGGAACACCAGAGATTGCCAGGAAACCCCCAGATGCTGGGAGAGAGGCATGGAGTGGCTTCTCCCTCACAGCCCCCAGAAGGAACCAACATTGCAGACAGCTTGATCTCAGCCTTCTGTCCTCCAGACTGGGTAACAATAAATCTCTGGCTTTCAAACCATCCAGTTTGTGGTACTTTCTTCTGGAAGCCTCAGCAAATTTACAAGGGACTTATTCAGTGAAGACTCTTGCACCTTCACATTTACAGCTATAGACCTTTAGTAGTATACTTCTTGAATCTCTAAGAATGATTCTCTTGTTCTTTAGGCCGCACTTTTTAGGAGATGACAATTTTTTTTTAGCAAATAGACTTATGCAAATATAGTGTCTTCTTATGCTGTCCTTTCAAAATGTTTGAGCCTGGTACACATTTACTTAACCCTTAATACTACGTATTTGATTTAAAATTGAGTGTGACTACACATAATGCAGAGCCCAAAATAAGAGCGATTTACAATTAAATCACTCTCTATTTCTCCCTCATGTATAAGTCTCAACACAGGTCATCCATGAAATCATTGTTGCCTGAGTTCCTTCTAGCCCACCACCCCATCCTCCTTAGGGGCACTCATCTGCATGATTAAGGATAGCAGCCAGCCTTCCAGCCATCACACCTGCATTCCAGAGAGTAGACTGGAGAAAGAACTAAAATGAAAAGGGCACACTGCACAAAGTGTCTATCTTTTAAGGAAAGATTTCATTATCTACCACATGATACTTCTGATTATGTCCTAATGATTAGAATTTCCACTTGGTCATAATTTAGTCACATGGCCACACCCATGACACACAATGGAGGCCACTTGTCAACTTTATTCTCAGTGTGTTCCCACATAAAATCAGACATTTTACTAGCACGGAAGACGACAGTGGAGAGTGAATAAACACTAATTGTCTTAGGTGCTTGGCACACATATGGAGCTCAAAAGGTTTATCCAGCAAAACCGTTTATTTTATGTAAGTCATTGATATTAATGATATTCTATATAACCCACCCAGACATTTCTATTAATTACATTAATGCTAACCACAAAAGCAATATTTCAGTGTCATAATACAATAGGACAGTGAATAATAATAAGTTTATTACTCATTCACATAACAGCCCAAGTAGATTTTTCTGGTTGACAGGCAGTTTTTCTCTACATGTGATTCAGGGACGGACTTTTTAAATTATATCAGAATTCAGCCAGCAGACTGAGGAAGAAGAGAGCAAAAGCAGGCATGACCACATCTCAAAATCACAACCCAAGTTCAACACATCATTTCTACTCATATCCCATTGACTAGAACGCAGTCACCTGGCCACATTCAATGCAAGGTATTTAGGAAGAAGAGAAAAATAATTCTTCTGAACAGTGAGCTATATCTGCCACAATATTTGCCTCTCTTGGAGGAAACATTAGCACAGATGACTCATCAGCTCACAGAGCAATCTCACTTAAGCCTCAACTCAAAAAGCAACATCTTCACCTCTCTATAAAAACTGGAAATAAAGGATAGTAGTGGATGCATCCATAAAAAAGAACGAGATCATGTTCTTTGCAGGGACATGGATGGAGCTGGAGGCCATTATCCTTAGCAAACTAACACAGGAACAGAAAACCAAACACCACACATTCTCACTTATAAGCAGGAACTAAATGATTAGAACACATGGACACATAGAGGGGAACAACACAAACTGAGGCCTATCAGAGGGTGGCAGGTGGGAGAAGGAAGAGGGTCAGGAAAAATAACTAATGGGTACTAGGCTTAGTACCTGGGTGATTAAATAATCTGTCCAACCAACCCCCGTGACACAAATTTACCTGTGTAACAAACCGGCACATGTGCCCCTGAGCTTAAATAAAAATAAAAATAAAAATAAAAAAAAAAGGAAGAAGAAATCACAAAACTTCAGGTTTTGGGTTTTTTGGGTTTTTTTGTTTTTTTTAAATTTATTTTGAGACAGAGTCTCACTCTGTTGCCCAGGCTGGATGCAGTGGCATGATCTCAGCACACTGAAACCTCTGCCTCCCGGGTTCAAGCGATTCTCCTGCCTCAGCCTCCGGAGTAGCTGGGATTACAGTCATCTGCCACCATGCCTGGCTAATTTTTTGTTTCACCATATTGGTCAGGCTGGTCTCGAACTCCTGACCTGAGGTGATCCGCCAGCCTCGGCCTCCCAAAGTGCTGGGATTACAGGTGTGAGCCACCGCGTCTGGCCCCAAAATTTGAGGTTTTGAATATCCTAATTACCCTGATTTGTTTATTACACATTGTTTGCATGTATCAAAATATAGCATTCCCCATAAATATGTATAATTATCATGTGTCAATAAAAAAATTAAAGGAAAAAAATGATAGTAGTGGGATATTTGGGCTCCTGAAGGACATTGTTAAGGTTACTCTAAAAATGAGCCACTTGCACTTACAAAAATACAATAAATTATCTTGCTAAAAGGAGAGAAGGAGAAAAGATTGAACTTTTTGAGGGTCAATTCTATCAGTATATACATATTTAAAAAAACACTAGCCATTGATGTAGTATAGTCTTTTTTGGTTTTTGTTTTCCTTTAAAGGAATTTGCCCTTTAAACAGGCAGGGAGTCTCATGCCATTCTCAGTCCCTCCCCCAACAGCAGCCTGCCCGGGCCTGCTCCTCTGCGAGACACTGTAACTGAAGTATCGCTCCTGTCGAGGTATCCTACAAACAGTCACAGCTCCCGTTCCCGTCTCCATCTGATTACGTCTGTGGAAATTCACTGTCCATCTCCATGACCCACTTGGCTTTTTTTTTTCCGAGATGGAGTCTTGCTTTCTTGCCCAGGCTGGAGTGCAGTGGCGCGACCTCGGCTCACTGCAACCTCTGCCTCCCAGATTCAAGCGATTCTCCTGCCTCAACCTCCCGAGTAGCTGGGATTACAGGTGCCCGCCACCATGCCTGGCTAATTTTTGTATTTTTAGTAGAGATGGGGTTTCACCATGTTGGCCAGGGTGTTCTTGAACTCTTGACCTCGAGATCCGCCTGCCTCAGCCTCCCAAAGTGCCGTGATTACAGGCATGAGGCACCATGCCCAGTCACCACTTGGCTTTTCCAGTAGCCAGAGAGGCAAGGAAAATAAGGAACAGTGGGCATTACCAACTTGCATTTCTCAAGGGGTTGATGACACTGCTCACCCCTCGGTCTCCTCCATGGATGATGTGCTGCGTTCAGTTTCCTCTCAGGAAGGTGTAGTTCTAGGGACCTCTACTTGGGCCTTCCTTTCTTAATAAGCAAAATTTTTGGGATCAGAAAAAAAAATGTGGAGATTCTACCAGTTGCTAAATCTACCTATTCCCATTATCCATTCTGGAACTGGAGAGTAACCACAGGAGGAGGCCATGGTTCCACTGGACAAGCTTAACCTGCGGCCAAGGCAGCTCCTGTCCCCAGACCTCCAAAGCCCCTGCTTCAACTGATGGGCCACACAGCATTTCTGATGTTGGGGATTCAAAATATGCTCAGAACATATAGACAAAATTCTCCAGAAAACGCATGTAGATGTTTCCCTTCTTCCAGAGTGTGGTCACAGCAGTAATTGCCTTTGACTTTGGGGCCATTTGGGGAAGCTGATGGAAAAGATACATGGCACATATCTGAGACTCCATTGCAGGGCCATTCCTTGAAGGGCTCCAATCTCTTCCTCAGCATAGGAGCTCAGAGTCGGGCCATTGCTGGCTTATGTTTCATAACTAGTTTAGAGACAGTGAATCCTCACTGTAGCAACAATCATATCTAGAATTGTTTTCTTGGTAGGCCATCCATCAGTTTCATTTGTAAGGACACCTGATCAATTACCCCACACCACGTATCCTTGTGGGTCACACTCTCTAATTCCCATCCTGCCCCCGTGGCATACTGTGTGGCATACTGTGTAAAGGACAGCCATGCACAGGGCTCTTCAAAGACGCTGGCGCCTCCCTTGCCAATGCTGTGATGAAAAGTGTGAGCTCTGCTTCTCCCAGCAGGCAAGATTAGGGATGGCTGAGCAGACTGCACATCATAGCTCCATCCCACCATGCCTGTCCTTATGCATTCCAACTCCTTCCTCCCTCCCTCGGCAGTGTGGCAAGGACATTTTAGCATTCTGACCTCATTATCTGGAGGCCATGATAAGGCCAGAATATCAACACCACTAGCAGGTGGTCAACCCAACACTTGGAACCCAAATCCATAGAGAGCACTCTCATGTCAATGAATTCAGTCCAATCAAGACCTTTATTTTGCTCCTTGGTCCACCGCCTTGGACCGACTCCCACTCCTGCTGCCCAGGCTTTTGCCAGCATGGACCTGCAAGGTCCCATAAGCTTTCAGCGTATAGTCGTCTCCTCCAGGGCAGTCCTGGCAACACTCTATCCTGGCTATTTTAACATCTATCTTTAGATCTGTCTTTTCTTACGGGTTCCCAACTGTACAGTGAAGCAAGATCAAGCAGTTCCTTCATTGCACAGATGACCTCCACCCTAAGTGAAGAGTGAATCTGAGGGGACAAACGGAAGTTATCTGTACATCAAGCTAACAATGGATTTTTAAACAGAAATCAGAACAATCTTTTAGAGGTAATGGATACATGTACACTTCTTTAATGGCAGTGATGGTTTTGTGGAATATATTTCAAGACTCATGGAATTGTACATTTTAAATTGATTGGTTCTTTGTGAAATTGATTATACTTCAAAAACCCTTAAAGAAATTTAAATACTAACACACCTGGGAATTTGAGCACTTTATACTGATCAACATAAAATATAAATAAACCATTCATATTGCAAAACGTATTATGGAGTCATAATGAGGAATTCTGGAAGGCTAGAATAATTATATGTAACGGTGTATTATGATTCACACCGCTCATGTGTATGAATACATGTTACATACGATTATATGTAACAGTGTATTACGAAGCTAGAGTTTAATTTATTGAAGCCATTTCTACTTTTATTTTTATTTCTAAAGAATATAAAACATTTTTAAACTCCAAATTTAATATGTTATCTAAGTGAAACAAAGTCAAATGCAAAAATGTCAATATCTGCCTTGTGAAAGGCAGAAGGTCCTTGGAAGTCAATGATAAGACATAAATGAAAGGCCACCAGAGGGCAGTGCAGGACTGCTTAGGACAATGAGTGCCCCACCTCAACATTTCCACAAGCTAGCATTGAAAACACGTTTTATCATCTTACAGAATGTCTAAATAAATATTTATTTGCTATTATTCTTTCATATAATTTGAAAAATAATAAAAATTTCCTACAGGAAACAAATAGAAGGTTATCCACTAACTGGAAAGTATATCTTTTTACACATTCAGATATGTAAAATTATGCAAGAAAGAATGAGTCAAGTTGGACTTTAATCCATCAAGATGTAAAAGTTTAACTGCAAACAAATGAAACAACTAAATTAATAAGTAAAACTCAAAGTCTTAGAAGGAAATATAGGAGCAAATCTTTATGACCTTGAATTTGGCAAGAGCTTCTTAAACATGTCACTGAAAACGCTAGCAGTAAAAAAAAATAAAACAGATGAATTGTATGTCAACAAAATTAAAAACTTTTGAGCATCAAAACACACTCTTAAGGGAGTATAAAGACAACTCAAGACTGTCAGGAAATATTGGTAAGTGAAAAATCTGATAAAGATTTTGTACCCAGAAAATATAATGAACTTTTACAGTTCAAGGACAGAAACGCAACCAATCCAACTACTAACGGGCAAAGGACTTGCATAGACATTTCTCCAGAGAAAATATTCAATCGGTGAATAAGCACATGAAAGATGATGAGCAACCTTAGATATCAGGGAAATGAACATCAAACCAGCAATGAGATACCACTCCACACTCACCAGGATGGTTATAACAAAACAGCAGCAGGTTCTGTTGTTGTCTCAAGACCTGGAGCTGGAACTGGCTTGGGCTCTGGAGCTGGAGTTGGGGCCAGAGCCTGCAGTGGCTGCATGGCTGGATCTGGTGCTCTTGCTGGGACTGCCTTAGCCCTGGAGCTGGAGCTGTTGATGGAGCTTGCAAAGGAGCTCGGGAGCTGGTGCTACGGTGGTTGCTGCTCTTGCTTCCAGCTCTGCAGATTTCCCTAGAGCGGCTGGTTAAGGCTGCAGCTGGAGCTGGTGGTGGACCTAGCCCTGACACACACTCTGAAGGTGGCTTTTGAGCTTGAACTGGAGCTGGCTCTGGAGCTGCCAGAGGAGGAAAGATCACTAACATGACTGACTTTCCATGTGCCTTCTACTGACAAAAATCTTCCCTCTGCCTTTCTGAGAAACTCAGAGAAACTCCACACCCAGGAAGTCTTCCAGACTGCAGTCGGCCACATGATTGGGCTGAGTTTCTCATTGCTGCGTCCGCTCCTCAGCTTCTGGCAGCTCTGCTCTGTGCAGTCCAGCCCTGTCCCCTCCCCACGGGCTCACATGAACCCACCCCCAGGCCTCCTCACACACCGGCTCTGCTTCAGTGGGCCCTGGGTGCTCCAACTGACCCCTGGGTGGCTCCTCCCTGTCGCCAGTTGCTCCAGCAAAGCACAGTGGACCCAGCCTCCCTGGTGGTGGGTGCTAGCACTGCACCCAAGGGAAAAAAATCACCAACCAACACACCTTTGTTTGAATGACTTCAAGGCATCAGCTCTCCCTGGTTTCAGGGAACAAAGGAGCAGGAGCTGTAGGATCCAGGGCATTGAGAGGGACCCCGCAAACTTTCCTTGTCCCCCTATTGCCAGCAATAGCTCTGGGGTCCAGTTCACTCATGAGGCCACTTCACCACAGCCAGGGCAGTGACTATGGGTTCATTTCCAGTGAGGACTGAAGGCTCTAACAGATGGTCTTTGCCTTATTCAAGATGAGTAGTTCAGTGCTCTGCCATGTTCTTCCTTACCCCACATCTCAGTCCTCCAGTCTCTCTCTGATTCACTCTGCTGCAAAAGACTCTGAGGAAGTAGAAAGCATTTTCCAAGGACCACGGAGTTCAGTAAGTCATCTACAGGGAACCTGGAGCCATAGACACTTTCTAAAGTGTCACCTTGGGGTGACCAACCCATAGCATCACAATATGTAAGGAGGTAAACTGAGGCCCTCTTGCCTGTAGCCCTCCTCACCCTAGGAGGTCTTGTCTCAGTTGAAGGTGCCCAGTATGGTGGACATAGAACCCCAAGTACCATCTGCTTCTGACTGCTGTGAGATGGTCTCAGACCAGGCAGACCCCCGGGTACCTTACAGCTCCCCCAGGCCAGCATCCTGGCATCTCTTTCCTTCCCAGGCCATGGTCCTGGTCATGGTGCTAGAAGAGTGCAGAGATGCCTCCAGCCTTTTCTTACTTTTCCCTTGTTACCTCCCCAGGGTCCACTTTTCCTCTTACTTCAGCGCTGTGATCATCAAGCATGTGGGTGCATACCCATGGGGTTGCTAAGAGGTACAGGGCCCACATAGGAAGGCTAGGGAGGGGTCCCCAGTCTCTTAGGGAACCCCATGTGAGATGGTTGAGCCCTGGCCTAGGAGGTGGGAATCCATTATTTTCTGGACATGCCCACGTCCTATACCCTCACCAGTCTCTGCTTGTCTCTGGGACTCAGGTTCCCAAATGTCCAATGGCGGGTGGACTGGAACTGTGTAGATAGGAGCTTAGCATGGACAGTGTTATTCCCTTCACCCTGACAGGGTGAGGCAGAGAGGGGCTTCAGGGCCCACACAGACTCTTTTCCTGGGAAGGACACAGGTGGACCAAGCGCAGGGCCACTGGGCCTCATGTTCATGGTGGGCACGCCCACTGGGCCAGTGTGGGCTGCAGACAGTGCATCCCTGAAGCTCCCCTGCACAGCACATGGGAAAGTCACCAGTGGTTCCTCCAATATCTGATCTCACGTAGACTCTGTCTCCTGTAGCCAGGAAGTGTGTCAGCCTCACTTAGGTACATGGGTTTGAGCCGGGGGGTAGTTTACCTAAGAGAAACTGAGGCATGGGGACAATTAGAAGTAGACATGGACATGGGCCAAGTGAAAGCCCCAGATCTTTAGAATCGTACAGAGCATCCACCCTTTTCTCTCTCATGCAGACAGGACTAAGTTCCAGAGAAAGGAAGCAACCCAGAATGTGCTATTATTTGCCAATTAATTGAAGGCAGGAAGTCTGCTCTTCTTCTCAGTCCACGCACCAGCAGACTTCAGAGGGCCTTTGTCCATCGCCAGTTGGGCTGAACTGTGATGGTATCTGAGCTTCAATTTTCCTTTTGGTCAGTTATACATACAAATCTGATAAACCTTAGTGCCGTGGCCTCTTCACAGAAACCTCTCCGTCAGAAAAATCTCCCTTTTTAACACCTGAGCAGGACGAATGCAGCAGCTTTTTAAATGAGAGCTCTCTAGGGACCTGCTTCAACCATGGGCCAGGGTCGTGCAGGGGCCAGGATCCAGGAACGCTAACTGCGCGTGCGCTAGCCTGGAAGCTGCCGCGAGCCGCCCCCCCGCCCCCGCCCGCGTCCTTGTGCCAGGTGTCTAGCCCCAGGGACTCAGCAGTGTGGGCTTTAGAGCGGCTCTCAGGACTTCCAGGAAAGGCTGGGGACGTATACATTTACGCCAGTCAAAAAGACCCCCTTCTCCTCTGTTCTCTGAAGCTCAGAATGGTGGAGAGTGGACAGGACTTGAATGGGCGACCCCCTGATACTGCAAGTTTCCTCTGGCTTTTGCCTTTTAACCCATTACCGTCCACCCTGGCACAAGGCAGGTTGTTGCCTTCAGCTGCCAGATATATGGCATGGCACAGATGGGCAGTGGAATTCCAGCTCTGAGCACTCCCGGCCCCCATTCTTATCCCAGTAATGGCTGGGGCAGCAGAACCCTGACACTTCACCCGCGAGCCTGGATAAAAAGGCTCCCATGACCTCTCTCTTTAGCCAACCCCGCTGGGTGCAATATTCAGAAGTGCTCCCCGAGGTTTCCAATTACCCGCTGTGCCCCACCTGTGGCAGAGTAAACCTACTTCCTCCAGACTCGCATGGCAGGGACTGACCAAGAAGGAAAGCGGCCCTCACTCCAGGGTTCCGTGGTGATACCTGCATCAGCACACCAGCCCGGGGGTCTGCACTCAGCGGGGTCTCAGGCCATCCCGCAGCTCATCTGCAGTGCTCGAAGGAATTGTGGGTGAGAACCACCAGTACAGGGAGCCTCATGCAGAAAGAGGGACACAAACACTACCTGTGCATATATGCACATATATAGTATAGTTACATTTATATATGTATATACATACACACACACATATATAAACATGTTATGTATGTGAAGAAGCACATTGATCGTCTGCATGGAGGATCTCATTTAAAAGATAAATAACATATCATGTCAACATGCATGCACACATTTATGTAAATGAATGTGAATGTGAGACAGTGAGACAGACTGGCAGAGAAAGAGACAATGAGAGAGACAGAGGCTGAGAGATGTGGCCAAACCATTTAATATGGTCAGATTTGGTGGTAGGACATTGAAAATATTTTATTTTCTTCTCTAAGTGATACTTAAATATTTTATAATGTTCACATTATTTTTATAATTATAAACAGATGAACATCATATACATATGTATATAGTAAACAAAACTCCACAGAAACACACACATTCACACACAGAGATATTCTGCCAAGGGCCCAGTCTGCCCTCTCTGCATGAGCTGGCAGCAAGGGAATAAGAAAATGCCACAGGATCCTATCATTGCCACCTCCAGGAGCCCCTCGGCTGACAGCCGGCCCCCTGCACCGCCCTTGTTTGTAGGCACAGCTCAAATGCCATCCCCCTGGAGTGGAGGAGATGACCTCTTCTCCTGAACACATTACTGAGCTGTCATTTGTCTCCACCAGACTGGCAGGTTTATATGTCGGGTGACAACCAGCAGTGGTGAGAATGTGGGAAGCAGAGGCCCCGGCAGATCCCCTGGGAGAATTGTTTATGGATATGCCTCTCTTGAGCTGGCAGCATCTATCAAAGCTCTAAACCACTGTCTCTTTACCTAGCAGTGATAACCCTGGGACTTCATCCGGTAGACACTGGTGCACCATGTTTCAAGATTTGTTTTTAAGACTATTCATCACAGCACTGGTTGAAATAACAAGGAATTGGAAACATCATTAACATCCACATAGAGAGGATGGGTGAAGAAAATTGGGTCCGTGTGAACCAGGGAATACCAAGCAGCTGCTGAGGTGGGTATGGTGGGTCTCTATGGGCCCACATTGGAAAGACTTCAAGGAAATTGATGTGAAAAAGTACATTGACGGTCAGTCTGCATTGAGGATCTTATTGTTAAAAAAATAAATATATACCATGTAAACATGCAGGCACGCAGATGTGTAAATGAATGTGCATGTGAGGCAGTGAGACAGACTGACAGGGAAGGAGAGAGACAATGAGAGAGACAGAGCCTGAGAGATGTGGCCAAACCACCTGATGATCAGATTTGGTGGTGGGACATTGAAAATATTTTATTTTCTCCTTTAAGTAAAACTTAAATATTTTAGAATGTTCATCTTATCTTTACAATTATAAAAAGATCACATCATATTAAATACTATCCATTTAACACTCACCTATTAAATAATTGATGTATATTTCCTAGTTTTAATTTTTATAGGCATTTTATTACAAAGCCAAAAATATGTAATATATTAATAGTAAAAGAAGGAATTCAAAATTAATGAAAAATAAAATAAAAGATCTAGTCCCTTCACCCAGACACAGTGCCCTCCCCATGAGATGCTCCTCCTCCTGTCCTGGCCCTCCGTGTGTAGCCCATGTGCCCTGAGGGCTGGGTGGGGAAACTTCAAGCCCTCAGCTCCTCTGTGATCTGCTGTCCCCACAGGTGGACACTGCCCAGACATCCTCTAGCCCTTGTGCATTTTCAGTGGCCCTGTGTCACATCTTACTCAGCACCTTCTGCTGTTGGACATTGGGCCATTTTTCATTTTTCACTCTCATTGAAGGGAACACCTGCATCCATAAATCTCCATTTTTTTTAAGATGGTACCCTAGAAGTGAACATTCTGGATCAAAAATATAAATGTGACACGTTTTCAAGGTGTTGGCTGCAGTTTCCAAGACGTGAGTCTCTTTATCAGGGTGGATGCTTGCTGAGGAAAGTGGGGGCTGCAGAGATCCTGGGGCTGAGCCCTGAGGGAACAAAGGGAGGTAGACAAGCCAGCAGTGGAGACCACCAGGGCACCTGGAATGAACCGGGGAGCCCAGAAAGCCCTGCTGAGCCCCTCCTGCTCCATAACTCAGCTTCTGAGCAAAGCAGCCAGGCGCTGCCATCCAGGAGAGAATAGGGGGCAGGTCTGGCCACCCTGCCTGTTTGGTCTCCCTCCAAGCACGGAGCTCCTTCCTCTCACTCAGGAAAGCACTTGTAAGGGGAGGTCAGCGAGTTATAGTGACCGCCGTGAATGTGTAGGAGACAGATGACGTTCTCAGCTTTAATAGCAGCACCACTCCAGCTTGTGTGAGCAGGAGAGAAAATCTCAAAGCACATGAGGTGCTCGTGAAAGCTTCAGGACAGCCAGAGTATCAGGCCGGCAGATTTGGAGCTGGACACAGCCAGAAACACCAACCCACACAGCCTCCTCCAGCAATGACCCACGCCTCTACCCCTGCACCAGCCACCAGCCCTGGTATCCTTCATATTCAGCTTCTGTGGGGGAGGGGGCTCTGCCTCCCACCAGAGACCCAATATGCTCTCTGCCTACATGGAGCTCCTGGATTCTGTGGGAGACAGACACAAAAGGGGGTGGTTAGCATGGATAATGGGAACCAGGAGTCAGCTACTTTATTAATTAGAGGCCAGTTCTTCAAAGAAGTTATGGAGAAAAAACATGCTTGACAATTCATTTTGAAAAAAAAATTTAATTGTGAAATATAAGTGAATCTCATATTTAACAAAGTATAATTATAGTAGTAACTATGCACTGTCTCCCAAAACCAACAAACAATGAATCCAGTGTTGACTGGGTATTTGTGCCACAAATTTTCTAACCAAATTATAGCATTTTGGCAAAAATCTTCTGAAGCCTTGGTAATTTTTCTGAAGGTCTCTTTAATCCTGGGATACTTACATGGTTCTCATGGAAACCTCTTCGGAGTTTCCATGAATTTCCTTGGTGATTATGTCTTCTTTAACTGTTACCTGATCTAACCCATCTTACTTACCCAAAATCTTACTTGTTAGTTTTAATAGAGATCAATGGTCATTCTTGTCTTTTTATTTGTGAAAATCTTTTATCTGGTCAGTTTTCAGATTTTCTTCTATCTCCAGTTTTCAGAAATGTAATTGGTGTGCTTTGGTGTCGTTTCCTGAAGCTTCTTGTGCTTACGGTTTCTTGTGCATTGAGTTTTCCTGTTTTGTCATTTTCGACATGTAGAAAATTTCGAGGCTGGATGTAGTGTCTCACTCATGTAATCCCATCCTTTGGGAGGCCGAGGCAGGCAGATTGCTTGAGCCCAGGAGTTCGAGACCTTCCTGGGGAGTAGGGGAGATCCCGTCTCTACAAAAAATACAAATAATAGCTGGGAGTGGTGGTGTGTCCCTGTGATCCCAGCTACTTCGGAGGCTGAGGTGGGAGGATTGTCTGAGCCTGGGTGGTTAAGGATGTGGTGAGCCATGATTGTGTCACTACACTCCAACCCCAGTAACAAAGTGAGACCTTGTCTCAGAAAAAAAAAAAAAAGAGAGAGAGAGAGAAAGAAAAGAAAGAAAGAAACAAACAAAGAAACAAAGAAAGAAAAAGAGAAAGAAAGAAAGAAAGAAAGAAAGAAAGAAAGAAAGAAAGAAAAAGAGAAAGAAAGAAAGAAAGAAAGAAAGAAAGAAAGAAAGAAAGAAAGAAAGAAAGAAAGAAAGAAAGAAAGCAAGCAGAAAGAAAGAATTAATTGTGGCCCTCAAATTTTAAATTATTTTAACTCTATCTTTACCATCTCCTTCAGGGACTCTAATTGCAGCTACAATAAGACCCTTGAAGTTGTCCTAAGGCTCACTGATGCACTTTTTGTTTAATAAAACTCTTTTCTTCATGTTTTCTATCCACGTTGGATTATTTCTATTGCCCTGTCTTAAAATTTACAAATATTTTCTTTTGCAATATAAAATCTGCATTCATCTCATCCAGTGTGTTTTTCATTTCATACCTTGTATTTTTAATCTCTAGAAGTTTATTTTCTCTCTTTCTTATATCCTCTAAATGTGACTTGGTCAGTGTTTTCACTAGTATATTTCCTCTAGTACAGTGAGCATAATGAATTGGGATATAATTCTGTTTTAAGTTACTTGTTTGCTAATCTTATCATCTTTGTTAATTATGGGTCAATTTCCATTCAGGGATTTTTTTCTTTAATATGAGTTGTATCTTCTTTCCTTCCTATCTGCCCTCCTTCCTTCATTTTTTCCTTCCTTCATCCTTCCTTCCCCTCCCTTTCTCCTCCTGCCTTTCTCTCTCTCTCTCTTTCTCTCTCTCTTCCTTCCTTCCTTCCTTCCTCCTTCCTAGTAAGTTTTTATTGGAAGAAAATAACGGATTTTTATCTTCTTGTGTGCTGGATATTTTTGTATTGCTAGAAATGTTCTTCAGTTTTGCTCTGGGATGTAATTAATTTCAGTTTGATCCTTTTGGGTCTTACTTTTTATTGCGTTTGGTGGGATCAAAACAGTTTTTCAATCTAGAGTTGTTAATGTTTCCCACCCTGGAGACAGCACCCTTCTCAGTCCTCTAGCAGATGCTCTATGAATTATAATGTTTTTCACTTTTGCCTTTGGGAACAGGCACTATTTCCAGCCCTGTATGAGCTCTGAGGATAATTCCCTCTAATTCTTTTTGGTGATTATTTCTCCACACTTGAGTAGTTTCATCACATGCAGAACTGCTCTGAAAATACTAGGGATTTCTCTGCAGACATCTGGGCTCTCTCTCTGTCAATCTTCTCCTCTCTGGCACAGCTCTGTCCTGGAAGATATAACTGCCTTGTCCTCTGCAGGTTCCCAGATTCATCTTCTCAACTCTGCAAGATTCTGGGCACTGCCCGAGTTCCCTTTTCTGCACCACAGTCTGTAAACTTTCCCTAGTAGTAAATCGGGGCAACCATCTGGCTTTTCTGTTTATTTCTTGTCTTTGAAGGATCACTGTCCCTTGTTGCTTAATGTTCATTGTCTAGCAAACAGCTGCTTCATATATTTTGCATGTTTTATACATTTTGTTTTTTAGTTATTTTAGGCAGGAAAGTAAATCGGATCCATTTTAGTCCATCTTAGTTGCATATTGAAGTGTATGTATCCTGACATACTCTTATGAAAAAAAAATGAAAATATGAAATTTTAAAAATCTCCATTGGGATCATCTGAATTTTATCCATACTGTTCCTATACCCATTATGTAGCTTTTCTGTTTTCCCTTGTAGTTAGTATTAACCACTTCAAGTAGCACCACAACAATTCAGCTGTTTCGGTGTAATGAATACCGTGAAATGATTAGGAGGCGGATTCAATTTCCAATGCAAGAGAATTACTTTTGCATCCGGCTTTAAGCATTCCTTTATTTGTACCTAAAACACTCCTACAAGCAAAGCTCAGAGTTACAGGAAGGAGAAGTAAAATTCTTAAATATTAGGTTATTATACGTGAGAGTGAGAGGTATCTTTTGGTTTTTAGACCCTTGTCTTCTAACCAAGAGGTACCTCTTTGTATTAGACCTATGTGTAGTAATGCCACATAGCGATCACTTGTCTAAGAGATATGCAGCATCATGCAGGACAAATCTCAACCATACAAGATGTGTTTGACTTTTAATTGAGTCTTCAAATAACTTCCCCACATTTTCATAAAGGGGAAGAAACTGAGAGGATATCTCAACATGTACTAGACCTTTCGATTCCCAGAAACGTTCTTGAAGTGTCTGTGTGAGATTAGCTGATACAAGTCTCACTGTTCACTGGCCAGGACAGAGACTTTGGTTAGGTCTGCTGGGGATCCAGTGTATTGAGTCACTCAAAGTTAATGGCCCTTTAACAACTTTAGGTGGTTAGAACCACTGTACTTGAACACAGTATATGTCTGTTTCAAATACTGCCCCATCTCCTTGCCCGCATTATCCCAGTTAGTACACACTCATCCATGGGAATGTCTAGACAGCTCAGGAAATACATTTCCTATTGACTTTTTTATTTCTTACTTCAATTTTTCTTTATATAATAAGTAAATGGAAGAGAGGAATTGTCCCGTCTTCTCTACCCAATAGCACTGGAGTTAGAGGGTCTGGATTTAAGTCTTGGTTTCACCACTTAACAGTGCTGGAGTTAGAAGGACTGGATTTAAGTCTTGATTTCATCACTTACAGTGCAATCTCATGTATGTTACCAGCCTCTCTTGTCTCAGGTTCCCAGAAAAGATACAGGTAATAATGGCTTTGAGGATTAAACAATAATCCATGTAGAACACTAGTCACATCATGTACATTTATCAGGTATTTAGCAACTTCATTTCCTTTTAATCAAGTTTATTGTAAGCTCTAGAGATAGTATCATCCATGGTACATTTCCCAGCATAGACCAGCACCTAGCAGGTGCCTGGCACAACACATCAGGTGCTTATGGCAGGTAGTCGTGGCTCAATAGATACGCTCAATGAGAGAGCGAGTGAATTCCTTTTGTATCCCAAGTCACTTAGCACAATACCATGCTCATAGTAGGTACATAAAAGATATTTTCCATTAAATTCAGTCTTTTTCCTCTCTGTATCTCTGACCAAAGTCACTTGGTGTTCAGATTCAAAAATATCTAAAGACTGATATTTAGCAGGAAACTTTTAAAATAACTAATTATCAAAAGTAAAAAGGCTTAGAAGTCAAAAATTATCCAGATCAATTTCTATATTAAGAACTTTACTATGATGTGGATGATTAGATAATTAAAATGATTAAAAAATGACTGCTTTGAATATGGAAACTTCTACTAAGAAAGGAGGAAGAGTAGAAACCTGCATCTTTTAAATGTTATTCGAGGAAATCATGCCCCAAATGATAAAATTATAGCCTCAGTGCCGAATTAGAAGTAAAATAAAAATTCAGGAAAGGGGAAAAACAAAAACCGCTGGTATGATAAGCTCCTCAAAACTCCTAGAAATAAGAATGAGACTGGCTGATGTCAGCATTGTTGGTTCTCCCAGAAGCCTCCTCTGTCAGCTTGATGACACTGTCTCCGTGATATGAGATGTAGTTCACTTTGGTTCTTTAAGGATACCTTCATGTGTAAAGAATATAAATTCTTGTCAACCATGAGGCCTGTATAAATGCTCAATAGTAAAGATAGCTTTTGCTTTGGGGAAACTCAGGCTAGAACTGAACACAAAGACAGCGAACGTATCACAGCTGCTAAACATTTCATTCATCGCGCCCAAGTCATGACAATGAACTGGTGAAAATGAATTCGCTTTTGTATCCTGGGTGTGAAACAGAAAGCAAATATGAAATGTAAAAATGAGAGATATGTGGGTTTAAGGTTTTTGTAATGGTCTGAAAAAAATCAGAGAGCCTTATTGCAGGTTTCTGTTGCACAGTTTTACTGTGAAGACTCAGGATGGTGTGCATGGTACAAGATGCACACGGCCAGCTGAGGAACCCACTCCCGTGCCGAGCGTCTGCACCCAGCCCAGGGCTGCTCTTGCTGCTTCCTGTCTTCTCCTCTGCACACAGCCACTCCTGTGAAGTGTCACCGTGGTTTTGGAAAGTTGGGGATCGAGATGATGTTAGGATGTATCTCTCAGGAATTCCAAGACGGAGCTTTGTACATCACACATATTGGATAAAATTTTTATAAAATGAACCCATGGGAATAAGAACATGAATGGAGAGAAAGTGATCCTAGTCCCTAAGGAGGATGGGACTCAAGGGCAAGTCTGCAGGCACCTGCTGAGCAGGGAATGTAGAGTGAGCCTGTAATAGTCAGGGTTGGAAATGAGGAAACCAACCTGATGATAGGCCTGCCCCCAGCTAAGGAGCAGTCATCCTAATGTCAAAGCCCTGGGGATGTGACACCCAGGGCAGGACAGCGACGGCATCAGTTTCAAAGGGTCTTGGAAGTTTAAGTGTTGAGGCCACAGTCTCTGTGACACTGACCATATATGATGGATGAGTTCCTTTTGGTTCCAGGAAAGTTCATTTCACAGGAGACAGAGACCAGAGAGAGAGAGAGAGAGAGAGAGAGAGGGAGAGGCAGGATCCAGCCCACCGGAGAAGAGCAGCAGGAGCCAGGCTCGGTGCTTAGACCCCTGTCAAATCAGCAGAGAGCAAGGAAGTCTAGGCTTAGATGAGATTTCGATGTAAACCAGGAACCAGGCAGGAAACTCAACCATCTGGACGGAGATCACAGATTTACAGAGGGGCCTGCAGCTCCCTGGACAATGGATAGCAGCCTTAGGCATCAAACCCAAACCAGACACCCGCTCTCAGAGCTAAGGGCCTAGTGGACACCTGGCTTCATTCTTAGCAGCTCAGGGACCAGGCAGGACCAAGCCTGCAGCAGGGCAGGGGTGGGGCAGGCAGAGATCGAAGGAAGCTTCAGCATGTACAGGCCTCTATGTTATTTCTCACTCTCCCAGTGACTCAATTTTTCACAGATATTTTACATCCTAATGTGGTAGAAGGGCACCTTGTAGTGACTTTACACCTGTGGATCTTGGGGCATCACTGTTTGTTTCTTGGCAAGTGACTGAGGCCTGTCTAGCTCTGTACAGGGCCGACTAATTAGAGCTGGCTACTCAACAGAGAGCAGAGAATATCCACAATGATTAGCAGATCTGTTCAGGAATTTTGAGTTGCTTTTTGTGTGTTTTAAAATTTCATTTATTTTTTATATTTACCGTGTTAACTAATGTGCCTGTGTTTGTGTGTGCACAGAGTTTAGAATGACAAGGTAACAACATGAAGGCAGAGCGGCTTTGTGGTTGGAATGAAATGTTGTTCAAATACCCCATGCCTCCTCCTGACCCTAGGTTCATTTTTTTCTGTTAGGGCGTCATGTCTCCAAGAGGCTTTCTTTAATAAAAATACTTTTGAATAATTTAATAAAATAGCCCCTATTCTTTGCACACCTACTATATGTCAGGCATTTTTTTTGAATACATGGATATCATAACTCTATTTGACAGATGAGAACACTGAGACTCAGAGGGTAAGTAAGTTCACAAGGACTGTAAAGCTGGTGAGTGAATAGCTAAGCTAGAATTAAAAGCAGGTGTATTTGAGTCTTCTAGAAAGATAACTCCCCAGATTAAGCAGTTGTCTGTTTTTACTGTCTACCTCTGGCTTGGACTGGGACAAACTTATGTATGTTAGAACAATGAGTAAGTGTGTATCAGTGGGAGGCAGGGCAGATGGACAGTAGCAGAGACAGCTGCCTGGGACATGGAAAGGCCGTGCACCCCATTCTTTAAAGCAACAGCATTGGGCTCACTCTTACCTGCATTAGAGTTCGGATTTCTTCATTTCACCTTTTGTTTTGTTACCTTGCTGAGTTGACTTATTTTTCTCTGATTCTAGGTCAACCAGAAGGATTTGTTACAGATAGTTTTTGGGTTAACAAGGGCTAATGATGGAAAAATCACATTCTGGAGTAAAAGCCTAGGGGAAAGATTCTGGAATCCAAGGCTACCAGAACAGGCCATGAAAAGAATGAAGTAACATGAGCCCAAGTAGACAGATCTGGAGGAAGGGTCCTGGGCTCAGCAACATCAGGACAGCCAAGCAGGAAGCAAAGGCCCAAGGAGGTACCAGGGATCTGACATCTGCATCCATCAGTGGATGGAATTAACAGACCGGAGTGAAAGCCGGAGACCTGGTGGTGATGAATCCCACCCTTAGAGGACTGAGGGCGGCCTGGCTACCATCCCGATGGGTCAGTGCCCAGGACTGAGCAGTCGGTGCTCGTGTCAGCAAGTTGATGCCTATGTCCAGCTGATCAGGGGATATGCTGAATATGGTCCCTGACTAGTATGGCTGCAAATTCAAGCTGGGAGACATGTGATCATTAGAAGACCTATTTCCAAACCCAGAAAAAATAGGATCCCAGGAAATCAGCTGGATAAGAAGTTTTAAAAGGGGAGAAGGACTTAAAAAATCATGGTTAATGTAACAGATCTCACCTACCTGAGATCAAAGTCCATTCACCATCATTAAATGCCTCCTACTTAATGTGGGCTGATGGGGGTTAGAGAGTGAGCACTGATAGACAGAAAGTGGAGAACTCTAGAGATGTTGTTTTCTGTGTCCCCAAGCCTTGTACACTGCTTGGCTCTTAGTAAGCACCCAATATATATCTGTTGATTACAGAAGTACAGCTCAGATTCCCAGTGAGTTTTCAGCCATTGTGATTTTTCTAAGTAATGTTGCTATAAGCACCTAACGAAACATTGCATTATTAGTAAACTTACAATCTGTAAAACAAATTAGTAAATTAATATCATAAACTTACTATTTAACTCATTCCTTTGTTTAATGACACAATCTTGATTTTTATTCTGATAATCTCTGATTGAATAAACAATGAGTTGCCAGGTGCCAGAATGACATGAGAAATCTTTATTACAACTCCTGATCCATGATTGAATTTGAACCTGTGAATTGCTGAAGTCTTGAACACTTAAAGGAAATAATGTAATGCAGTTAGTTGATGTCTAGGTCTTCTCTGACCTTCTATCCCTACCTCATCCTAGAGCACCAGGAACCTTCCCTAGCACAGCACTAAGGTCCCAGCAGGACAACTGCTCTGTCACTGACCAGCTCTGCTCCTGACTGTCTGGCTCCATGGGGCCAGAGATTTATCTGGTTCACCTTTGTATTTCTAGTGTCCACTCTGCTGATTGCATTGTCATCGTAGGTACTCAATAATTTTTTATTAAATGAATAAATATGGTGAGTCAAAATTCACAATCTGATTATTGGTCTTTATATATCTAAACTTTCCTTCCCTTCTTCCTTCCTTCCTTCCTTTTTGTTTCCATTGAAAGTCTGAGACTGAAACCACATCGCTGAGTGGAGGAACCTAACTTGCTTCATGCCAAGAGTCACTCATCACAAAGCAGGGGAAAGCCTTCCTTTGATTGAGATTGGCCACCAGACATAAAAAAGAGTATCAGAGAGGATTTTTAAAACATGCCTCATGTGAAACCATCACCTACATCCTACACTGAGGCTTACCAAGCTTCTTCAGGAGACAAAACAGCATCTCCCTGGAGGAAAGTAAATCTCCGTTTTTTTGTTTCTCTGGTTTTCTAAAGTGGGCAAATGTTGGTTTTTACAAGAAAATATCCTTGGTCCTCGACTTCTGTGGCATCCCATGAGCATCAGAACACAAACTGCCCAACACACACAAAAATTGCATGCTCTATTCAGATCAATAAAGCAAGATGGAAAATTAACTAAATGCAGGGCTTTCTAGGGCCATTAAAATAATTCATCAGGGCAAGGTGTGATGGCTCATGCCTATAATCCCAGCACTTTAGGAGGCCGAGGCAGGCGGATCACCTGAGGTCAGGAGTTCAAGACCAGCCTGGCCAACATAGCGAAACCCCGTCGCTACTAAAAATACAAAAATTAGCCATGCATGGTGGTGGGCAGCTGTAATCCTAGCTACTCAGGAGGCTGAGGTGGGAGAATTGCTTGAACCTGGGAGGCAGAAGTTGCAGTGAGCCAAGATCGTGCCACTGCACTCCAGCCTGGGTGACAGAGCAAGACTCCATCTTACTTTAAAATATAATAACAATAATAATTCATCATAATATGCTGAGTTAAACAAGAGGCAAACCTGAATAAACAAAGTTTCTATGTACACCCAGGTCATAGGATAGAATTCATGTTGAATATTCCAGCATTTCTTAACAGGCAATTAGGAATTTGTTCTAATTGTTTTACTGTGCTCTCTGTGGACATATTGTCTATATGATTAGCGTGTGAGACACCAAAAAGCAGCAACTCCTACTCATCTTTTCATTGTTTTACTTAGAAAATTGGTTAAATTAGGGAATAGTTAAATAACGTTGCCAGGATTCCATTTGTAGCCAGTTCTAGTCTCTTTTATCAGTAGTTTGCTTTGCCTTTCAGTTAGTTGTTCATGGAAAAAATATATAAATTACTTATTCTACAAGTAAACATCAACACATACAATGGGATACCACTCATCCTTTAAAAGAAATGAGATCTACTATATGGATGAACTTTGACAACATTATGCTAAATGTAATCAGCCAGGCAGAAATGTACAAATATTGTACGATTCCACATGTATGAGGAACCTAGAATAGGCACCGTCAGAAACAGAGAGTTGATAGAGATTCCTATGGGATGAGAGTTAGGAGGATTGCGGAGTTATTGTTTAATGGACACAAAGTTTTGGTTTGGTACAATAACAAATTTCTGGAAATGAATAATGTGAATAGACTTACTATCACTGAGTTGTATACTTCAAATAGTTAATATGGTAAATTTAATGTTATTATCTTTTATCACAATTTTTAAATGGCCCAAATAAGTACAAATCAACATAACATTATTTATTTGCTCACTAGATAGGAAATCATATTATTAAATTTCTTTATAAAAAGCTTAAATGTGAAATCTTTTTGTCCAAAAAATGTATGTCCAAAAAATAGATCAAAGTAGCTCTGGAAACCCTTCAGACATTAAGAATAAGATAGCTGGGAAAGAAATAGTGAAGGCCAGCTCTGATTGCCAGACAGAACTGTGGGCAGCCTGAGGAGACCTATCACTGACATGTCCTCAATAACTCCACCACAGGATAGATATTCAGCAACCATTTGGCTTTGCTTTCAATTAAAAAGATTACCTTTTCATTTAACTTAAAAAGTTGAAATTCCATGGGATCACTTGCTGATTGCCATGACTTAAAAAATAGACATATTTAAGTTTTAACTTGGCTTTTAATTTTATAGGAAGAGTGTGAAAGTGTAAAGGAGGAGAGAAAGTGTCACCTTTTCTTTTCGCGCGAGAAAGCGTGACTTCAAGATTGGCAAAGGCATAAAATATGGAATCCTTATGGGATGCATCTGGGTGGGCTGATGCTGGCAATTCTACCCCTAGAAATACCCAAAAGAAATAAAAGCTAACGTATATGTCAAAACTTTTACATAGATGTTCAAAGAGGTATTATTCATGATAGCCAAAAACCCCAGAATCAATCCAAATATCTACCTACCGATGAACAAATAAACAAACGTAGTATATCTATAAATGAAATATTATTCAGCATTTAAAAAGTAATGAGGTACTGACACATGCTATACCATTGATGAGATATATACATAATGTTATTCAGTCTTATTAAAAAAAGGAAATCCAGCTATTTGTGGCAGCGTGGATGAACATAAAAGACATTATGCTAAATTAAATAAGACCAGAAAGACAAATACTGCATACTCTCACTGATACATGGAATCCAAAGACGTTGAACTCAAAGAAACAGAGAGTAGAAGGGAGGTTGCGAGGGGCTGAGGAATGGGAAATTGGGGGATTTAGCCAAAGGGTAAAAACTTTCAAGTGTAAGATGAATAAGTTTTGGGGATCAAATACACAGTACAGTAACTATACTTAATAATACTAATACTGTATAGTTATGGTAACTATGCTTAATAGTACTTCACATTTGCTGAGAGAGTAATAATGTTAAATGTTAACACACACACACGCACGCACACACACACACACACACCAAGTAACTATATAAGGCGATGGATATGTTAATCAGCTTAATTATGATAATCATTTCACTATATATATATCAAAGCATCAGACTTCACATATTAAATATATACAATTTTTATTTGTCAAAAAATTGTGAAAGATCCATATTAACTCCATGATTTTTTCAGTTACTGCAGCAAAAGTAGATAAGAGCAGTTTTAGAATTCTGCAATTCTGCATTTCATGATATATTGACATAATTTATTTCTGTTCCTTTTCCAGAAGATCAGGTCTTTCTGTGCATTGTAAATCACCAGGCATGCTCACTTCTCTGAAAAATATATATTTAGGCCATCTTATCATTAAATAAATTGTTTAATGAATAAAACACCACTGATTTATAGCCACACCAAGCTTTATGCATTCACATAGTTATTGTTTTATAAGTAAAATCCTGTTGTTAAACTTTAGTTCCACAAAATCTAATATTCTGAAAGACCTACCTTCTAACAGCAACATGAACCTCTCCAACGTGTATAAATCTCATACCTGGAGCTGACCAAGAGGAAAGAGAGCCTCAGAGACCATCAGAGCCATTCCTGCAGTGGTTGAAGGTCTTCTGAAGTCTCTGCTGGTGTGTGTGGGGGGCAGCAGAGCTGGCTTCCTGCCCCCAATTAACTGGCAAATAATATTACAATCTGGGCTGCTCTGAGCCCAAATCAGATGGTTTTAGAGTGCTGCTTCTCAGAGAGGATATAGAAAGGTAGTCAGAATTGTCAGCATAATCCTCCCTGCTCAGTGTCAGAAAAGGAGGCTTGTTTATTTCAAGTTACTCTGCTCAAGAAATGTTATTTTAACATGATTTACCAGAAACAAAGGTGAACCTACAACCAGTAGTAAGAAAATCTCAAGACAGTATCAAATTGCTCAATATGGTTCAGTTCTGTTTAGATTTTTTGAGCTCCTACTATTTTAAAAGCACGGGCCTGGAATCTGGAGATAGTAAGTGGAGTAAGACCCTGTCCACTCTCTCAAGGCAGAGATTGGTGACACTGGGCAAGACACACCATTTCTCTGGGTTCTGGCTGCCTCATTTATGAAAAGCAACAATGTGAGTAGTTAATTTCTAAAGTTCCATTTGTGTTAAAAGGAATTTTTACAAAAAAGCAAAAAACTTTCTTATTCTAGAAATCCTTAGATAGCAGAGTAAATTTTACCTTAAGATCCATGTTTTTAAATGACAGTGTCATGAGCATAAAAGAAGGGAATATATCTGGCCGCAGTATTTAAATTACTCTTTGTTACCGGTATCAGAATATTGCAGTCTCTATTTTATGTCATCAAGTTTTCTTATTCCAAGAAGCAAGACAAATAAACCCACAATTTTCTACTAATTTTTCAGAAGTTGGGAATTATTTTCTAGTAAGAAGGCATGAAACCACTTTTCTTACTTACACATTTGTAGACATCTGAACTCCCATGCCAAGAGGGGATGCCAGAAGAGGTGAGGTGAGGGGGTAGCTTTGGCTAGTGAGGGCTCCCAGAGTCAGCATGCTGGGGGCGTCTTCCAACTGGAGTTGGGATAATGCTGCAATCCAAGTCAAGTGCAGAACCAGAAACAAGAGGATGGCAGGGGAGCCAGAGAAGGGAGATCCAATGGGCTCCCCAGAGAAGGGAGATCCAGAAAAGGGAGATCCAAGGGAGGTCAGAGGTGACCCCCAAGACCCAGAGTGAAGTAACACAGAGTAGGCCAATGAAGGAGGCCAATGTAAGCAGAGAAGGCAAAACAAGAGCGTGATTCTGGGAAATACCTGGGACCAAGTAGGTCCAGGCTGGTGGTTGCAGTGGGAAGGCAGTCGGGATTAAAGGATCTGGTAGGTTGTCAAGATGCGTGTTTATGATGACTTCATATCTGGGCTGTCTAGGAAAGTCCTAATTTCAAATACCGTAGTATTTTTGTCAGATGTTGCAACCAAAGTGCCTTCATTCAGCTGTACATGGCACCTCTGCTCGGCCAGGTGCTGGGCTAAAAATCTGCGACATAGTCGGGACCAAGGTGTAGACTCTGCTTTCAGGTCGCCCACTGTCCTGTGCAGGGGGCTAAGGATTATAGCAAGTATGGTAGAAAGCACAGCTACCAGGTTATTGTAATAAAACCTAATCTCTCCCTCAAAATTATTATAACCACTGGTCATTACTCTGATCTGATCCTCTTTTAAGAAATAAAGGATTTTTGGGGAGGCTGAGGCAGGTGGATCACCTGAGGTTAAGAGTTCACGACCAGCCTGGCCAACATGGTAAAACCCCGTCTCTACTAAAAATGCAAAAATTAGCCTGGCATGGTGGCACATGCTTGTAATACAAGCTACTCGGGAGGCTGAGGCAGGAGAATCACTTGAACCCACAAGGCAGAGGTTGCAGTGAGCTGGGATCGTGCCACTGCACTCCAGCCTGGGCAACAGAGTGAGACTCTGTCAAGAAAGAAAGGAAAGAAAGAGAGAAAGAGAGAAGGAAAGGAAAGGAAAGGAAGAAAGGAAGAAAAGAAAGGAAGAAGGAAGGAAGGAAAGAAAGAAAAGAAAGAAAAACAAAGAAAGAAAGAAAAGGAGGGAGGGAAGGAGGAAGGAAGGAAGGTAGGAAAGAAGGAAAGAAAGAAGGAAGGAAAGAAGAAAGAA